>NC_000017.11:8066868-8218383 GCF_000001405.40 Homo sapiens
GGTCTTAGTGCACATCACAGAGCATGTTAGGCTTCCCTCAAAACGGGTGGGGCCAAGGGAGTTCAGATGACTCCTCAGGCAGAAACCAAACCTGCGATCCTTTGTTGTCTAAGAAAACCACTTGGAAAAGTAAAGTCATCCAACCCGTTGTGCTAGAGAGGAGGGAAGCCCAGCCCAGCCATCAGCATCAGGAAGTGGCTATGCTGGGAAGTTGGAGATGGGTCTGACAGTGGTGGCCATGCTGCAGGCAGAGGACCAGGGTGACTCTCCCCACGCCTACCCTCTGCAGAGTATGCATTTCAGACTAGAAGGAGGATGAGGACACCTTTTTCGCCTCCTTCACCTCCTAGTTTCTGAATGACCTCAACTCCATCCTGATCCACTGCTGTCACTGACTCCCAAAGAATTTTCTGGTCACTGATGCCATGATGGTCCCTGCGCTGGACCCTGGGACCAGTCTGCAGGCTGAGCGGGCGCCAGTGGAGGGAGGGGCATTGTTCTGAGATGGTGAGGGCTGAGGGGCAGGGCTGAGTGAGGAATGTGCTCTCTCCTGCTACTTTGCCAGGAGCCATGCATTGACAGGCCCTCCCAGCACAGAAACTATAGTGATGCGTTGGTTGCCATGGTTTCCGAGGATGCTCTGCAGCTAATCTGAGTGCCCCCCAGAGCTGCTGCTCTCCCCTCCCTGGGCTACTGGGATGGGGTGTGCTGCGACCCCAGGAGGGTGCATTTCGTGCTGACCTCCAGCGGGGCGCGCTTCTCTCACTGTCTCTCACTGATGCTTGGGCCTGGCCACAGTAGAGTCACCTTCAATACTTGGGTGGGGGAAGAGGGGAGGGGCTTCTTTCTCTGGAACCACAAAGTGGCTCTGAGTTGGAACACCCCACTGGCTCCAGAGAATGAAGTTCCTTTAAGTGAAATACTCCCAGGTTCATAATAACTCCCCCTTCCTCACCCAAGCCTGCTCAGCCCTCCTCCTCCTCCACTCCTCCTCTAAAGGGGCTCTCTGTACCTGGTGGACCATGCCATCCTCTCAGGCCTCTACCCCAGCATCATTCATGGGAGGCCCTAGTTCATGACTGCACCCCTGATCCTGCTGCACCAGCGTCCCAACGGCAACAGGCCCTTGCTATCCCTTGTCATTCTGGTCAGCCAGGCAGGGCCTCGGTGGGCTGGTGGGTGGGGTAGGGGAAGTCTATTACATCCTCGGGATGACTGAAAGGTTGCCTCCTCCCAATGCCACTGTGCCTGGTGACATCACCTCTCCAATCCTACTCAGCCCCTCTCAAGTTTGTCTTTCTGTTTTGTCCTCTTTGATTTCCATCTTGATAGAAAGTTTATGATACTCAAGAGAACAAATTGCCCCTTGACAGGGTGTCAGAATCGATTGTACTAAGTCACGCACCTTTGGCAGTTCAACCGTGTTCCTAATAGTTAAAACCATAACCCATTCGGGAGGTGTCCACACCGTCCCTTCCCATCCTTCCAGTCTGCCCCACACAACTGGGGCTCTGGATGACTGGACTGGTACAGGGAAGTCAGCCAACACGATGCCTTGGGTCACTTCACCTCTCAAGGAGATTATTCTCATCAACCTTGTCTTACTAATGAGGAAACTGAATCACAGAGAGGTTAATAAACTTTCCCAAGTTCACACAGCTGGTCAAAAGTCGTGTGATTTTGTAGCAGGACGAGCCGCAGACAAAACCCCTCAGACATCAAGTTAAAGAAGGAAGGGCTTTATTCAGCCAGGACCATCGGCAAGACTCGCGTCTCAAAAACCGAGCTCCCAGAGTGAGCAATTCCTGTCCCTCTTAAGGGCTTACAACTCTAAGGGGGTCTGCTTGAGAGGGTCGTGATCAATTGAGCAAGCAGGGGGTATGTGACTGGGGGCTGCATGCACTGGCAATTAGAACGGAACAGAACAGGACAGGGATTTTCACAGTGCTTTTCTATACAATGTCTGTAATCTACAGATAACATAACCGATTAGATTAGGGGTTGATCTTTAACTACCAGGCCCGGGGTGTGGCGCAGGGCTGCCTGCCTGTGGATTTCATTTCTGCCTTAGTTTTTACTTCTTCTTTCTTTGGAGGCAGAAATTGGGCATAAGACAATATGAGGGGTGGTCTCCTCCCTTATTCTGGCCCCATGGACGTGGTGATGGGCTGCCCTTCCCCAGTTTCTGCCCAATGCCTGCCCTCTCCTGTGCCCCCACTCCAGCTCACTCAGACACCCAGCCTAGACAGCCCCATCTTCCTGCCCAGTGACCCCAGCTGAAGACTGGTTCCTGGCCAAGACCTGGGTGTGACCCTGAAAGTTCCTGTTGCACAAGACGGTCACTCATCTACTTCAAACCCACTTTGTGGTGGAGCTTTTGCTTTGTCCATGCTGTGGCAGCTGCCCATGAGCCACCCATTTTCAAGGCAGGGAGGAGCCCTCCTCTCAGTGCCCACAGCTGTGGGAGACCCGGGGCTGCCTGATCTGACCTCTGACTCCGGCTTCCCCTTTCTTCTGCACCTTCCACATCAACATCCAGCCCGCACTGGGCTCTTTGTACCAGGAAAGCTCATCCACCAGGTCAAGGCCCTGGAGGCCTGGGATCTTGGGGTGAGCACAGAGGGCCTGGGGAGGCCTGAGATTTGGTCCAGAGCCCCTCCTAGCAGCAGGAGTGGGCTCTCTGCTCATTACAGTCAACATTGTTGGGACAGATGGGCTGCCTGGAGCTGATCACCAAAGGGCTGGCAGCTGCCAGCTACCACTCCCTCTACCTGTCCCACCAGCTGGCTGACTTCAAGGTCCAGGACCTCGCCCGCTACTACACTCCAGATCTGGGCAGCCATAGAGAGGTGACACTCCCCTGGGGCCTGAGGGCTCCAACCCTCTCACCCTCGGCTAGACCCCTGTTGGTTTATTCAACCTTCCCCCAGCCTCCTTCCCAAACACACTGCTGTCTCCAAGCCCTTCCTGTTTACTCTTGATCCTTCCCAGCTGTGTTGGGAAGTTATTTAACCTCTCTGTGCCTGTTTCCTCATCTGACAATGGGGTAATAAGAGCACCTATGGTATAGCTTATTATTCTTATTCAATCCAAAACCCTAAGAACAAACCCCAGTGCACAGAAAGTGCTCTCGGAGATTAGCTATTAAGATTATTATGCCGGGCGCGGCGGCTCACACCTGTAATCCCAGCACTTTGGGAGGCTGAGGTGGGCGGATCACTTGAAGTCAGGAGTTCGAGACCAGCCTGGCCTACATGGCAAAACCCCATCTCTACTAAAAATACGAAAGTTAGCTGGGTGTAGTGGTGGGCGCCTGTAATCCCAGCTGCTGGGGAGGCTGAAGCAGGAGAATCACTTGAACCCAGGAGGCGGAGGTTGCAGTGAGCAAGATCGTGCCATTGCACTCCAGCCTGGGCAACAAGAGCAAAACTCGGTCTCAAAAAAAAAAAAAAAAGATTATTTTTCACCCCATAGATAAAGTCACTGTGTCTCCAGGTTTTTCCGTTGAAATCTTCCTCATAGGAGACTGCCTTGGGGTATAGCTGTGGCCTCCACCCCAATGGCCAGATCCTCTTAATATCTGGCCTCCCACGGGTTCCCAGCTCCTGCCACCAGCCTGCATAATGGCCTCCCTCCAGCACCGAGATTGATGGCGGTGCCGCTGCCCATTAGCCTCCAGTGGTGCCCAGTGGCTCGCCACATGCAATGCTGCATTCCCTGCCAGCTCAGCCCCTCTGAAATCTGCCCCTACTTCCATTCTTCCACCTCAGCACACACTGGGCCTAGGGAGACGAGGCACCCTAATTTCTCCCTTTCTCCCAATTCAAATTCTGCCCCTGCTTCAAGCCCAACTCATGTCCCACCTCCCCCTTGAAGACCTCAGGGACTCCCCCTATATGAACATCCACAGCAGGAGCTCCTTCCTCAGCAGGGGTCTGCACATCCTACTATGGCTGGGGATGGAGGGCCCTTTGGGAACCAGTGGATGAGATGAACCCAATCAGCCGGTCCTGAGGCAGATGGACCTGGTGTCTCATCCTTCCCTGTGGGTTGGAATCCAAATGCCTGCAGGACCAGTGAGCAGAGAAAAGCTAAGGAAGAAGAGTGGGCAGGGACCGTGGCCAGTGGGAAACTCATGTTTGTCTGATGGGGACAGTGGTGACCCAGCTATCACTGTGACCAGATCTTCTGATTTTTCAGCAGAAACCAGACATCTTCTAATATTTAAACGTTGGCAAGTGATTCAACTTGAAAAACAAACAGAAAAACCTTGCCAGCTGATCAAAACACATCTGCAGATCAATCATGGCCTTCGGGCCTCTGTTTGCATGGCATGGTGAAGAGCACAGCCTCCCGGTTTGATCTCGGCTCTGCAGTTCACTCTGTGGTTGGCCGTTTTCCTTCCTTGGCCTCAGTTTCCCCCTTTGTGGGCAGCAGGTCTCAGTGGCCCCTTCCAACCCATACCCCTGTGCAGTGTTGGCTCCCGGCTGTTAGTCACCGTGTATTCCCGACCCCCCAGCTTTGGGACCAATATTGTTAACATCTACTACCCGGACGATACGGCAGTGAGCAGGGACTCAGAGCTCCAGGCCTGGGTCAGGGAGATCTTCCAGGAGGGTTTTCCAAGCCAAATGCTCTCAGAGGTGGCGTCCACTGCCCCAGGGCAGCAGCCTCTTGGGTCTCAGCTCTGTTCTCTCTACCCTACTCCCATCTAGGGGGTCCCCTCCACCCTGGGCCACTGTGCTGGGCTCATCCGGTGTTTCACGACGATCATCGTCACCTGCTCAGCCCAACATGCTGCCATCAACAGCGGCCAGGTGAGCCACTGCCAGACCAGGGGGACAAGCAGGGTCACGGGAGGAGCAGCCCTAGCAGCACTGGAAGCTCTGTACTGAGTTTGCGGGGGTCGGTCTGAATTCAGTGACTGGATCCCCAATATTCCTATCATCCTGTGGCTTGCCCTGCCCACCGCCAAGGGCCAGACAGAACAAGCAGCCTCACTCCCTGCGGTCGATGCCACACACCACCCCCTGCTGCTCCTGTGGGGGGTCAGCAATGGAACCAAGGCCACCATAAGCAAGGCCCAGGTGGGGATGGCTGGGGTCTCAGCTTCTAGAGAGTGGGAACATTGAGGAAGGGATCCTGGGGACAATGGCTACTAGGAGGATGCACTTAGCTTAGCAGGCTGGGCTCCTAGGTGGCAGGGCTTGTGGCCACTAGGTTGCTGGTGGGTGTGGTTTAGGGTGCTGTGGATTCCTAGTAGGGGGAGTTTAGAGTGGTCTGGGCTTCAGAGTGAGCCGGGCTTGGGGTGGTCTGGGTTTCTTGTGGCCCGCAGTCTTTTGTCTAGGTGGGCGGGTGTTTTATGTTTCAAGTTGGATGGGTCTGGAGTGCTCCAGGACCCCTACGTGGGCTGGGCTTGGGTGGACTAAGTCCCCTGGGAGGGAGACTTAAGCTGGAACAGAATCGTTGTGGGCTGAAAATGCAGCCGGCCAAGGTCCCAGCCTTTCGGTCTCCCCTCCTGGACACCTACCCAGAGGAGCACTTCACCGAGAAGGCCCCGCGGCAGAGCCGCCTGGCCCAGATCTCGGCGGACGTCCTGGAGTGGAGCCGGGGCCTGGCGCTGCCCTACTCCTACCTGAACCCCGCGGCCGCAGAGAACGGAATCGCGGTGAGAGCGCGCGGCACAGCCTGCACCTGCACCCCGCGGCGCCAGCCCTGCCGCCAGCGCCCCAGTAACTTGCCGCGCGCATTCACAGCCAGACCCAGGGAAAGGAAGGTTTTTTGTTTTTTTGTTTGTTTGGTGTTTTGGTCTCTGAGGTTTTTGTGTTTTTTGCTTGTTTGTTTTGTTTTGTTGAAAATAGTAGGGCACAGAATGGGGAGAGGAGAGACGGGAAGCGCGCTCCTAAATAGAAATGCTGTTCTCAATCAGCACCGGGTCCAGGTAGTAGTAGGGGATGGGAAGGCACTTGTTGCGCTGGCGGATGTCGTGTGAGATCTGGTTCAGGCGCTGGCGGAACGCCTCTATGCTCCTCCGCGGGGCCTCCTCCACGAAGTGAATGTCCGGGAAGTGTCCCAGGGGCCGCTGCGGGCAGAGAGCTCGACAGCTGGGACCAGGGCCGGCCAGCACCCCCTCCTCCTGCCGGTGGCCCTGGCCCCTCCACCCTTTGGTTTCAGTGGCCTCTCACTCCCTGCTCCCCTCTTGACGCCGCTAGTTATCCTCCCCCATCCCCGGCTTCTGGTCCCCTCCCTGTGCTCAGAGTCCCCCATCCCGTCTCGCACCCTGTCGTCAGGCTCTCGGCTGAGGGTCCAGAGCACCAGCAGCGTGATGCACGTGGTCTTCACATCCGGCAACGTGTCCATGAAGGTCTCCAGAGTGGTCAGCCCCTTAGTCTGAATCGGTGGATTCCGCATGGACGCTGGGAAGTTGGGCATCCAGGCGGTGAACTCCATCTGGAGGTGGGATAGAGGCGCGGGTCTGGGTGGAAGAGTACCTCAGGAGTTTCCTTCCACCAGGTGCTGACCACCCGCCCTCCAGTCGCTGAGATGGACTCCCCGCCCTTGGCGCTGAGGCTGGGCTGGGTTGGTTAGACTGGGGGTGGGGCTGGGTGTGGGGCTGGGGCTGAGAGTTGGGGCTGAGGCTCGGTTTCCGTTGGGACTGGAGTTGAAGCTGGAACAAGTTGAGGCTGGACCAGGGATTATGGCTGAGGCTGGGTTTGAGGTTGGGGCATGGACGAAATTTAGAAGGTCTGAGCCTCGGGCTGGGCCTGGGTTGGTGAGACCACCGGTACCTGGCCTGTGTTGACAGCAGCGTGCTTGGCAGAGCAGGTGTAGATGACTATAGTGACATATCGGATCAGCTCAGGCACGGTTCGCAAGCACCTAGGGAAGCCTGACCGGCGGGGGAAAAGCCCAGGCGACATCAGTCGTGCCCTGGTACTGGCTGCCCGGCAGAGGGCGCCACCATGCCCCGCTCTCACCGTTTTGCAAAAGCTTCAAGCTGCCGCATCCGTACCCTCATCCTGCCTGCGTGACCCTCCTATGGCAGCAACCCCATCTCCCCTCACCCAGATCATAAGGCTGGGGACGGAGGACTTGGCCAGAAGTCCTCCAGGGCTGCTCCTGGCCCCTGTCTAACCAGTGGCCCTCAGATCTCTCTTCCAGTTTCCCTGGGGATGCCGCTCCGGTCCCAGACCTGGGGATGTTGGGAGAGGCAGGAGGCTTTCCTGGGTTCCTTCGGAAGAGTCCTGCCCCGACTCAACCCAGCGCCCCCTCTCCACTCCCTCCCATCACCTCCTTCCAGACTCTGTGCCCACTCCAGATGGATTTCTCAGTCCCACACATCTTCCCTACCAAGCTGCTGGCTTCCCTTTCCTGTTGTCCCGTGTGAACCTCAGGTTGCTTCTCTTTCCTGTTGTCCGGTGTGTCCTGGTTGCCATGGTGATCTCAGGTTCCAAAAGTCCCACATATTCAAACCAGACCCATCATCTTCCTCCCTAACCGCTCCTCCTTTTAGCCCCCAGCTCAATGGATGACCTACATCACGTATCCAGTTGCAAAAGTCTGAAACGTGGAGTCGCCCTTGGCCCCTCCCTCCCCTCCTCCTCCCCTCACCACCAAACTCAAACCATCACCCAGTCCTGTCATTTCTAGCTCTGGAATTCTCTGTGGCATCCCCACAGCTCTTACCCTAGTCAGGTCCCCAGTCTTCCCTCCTGGACACCACAACAGCTTCCCTAACTGTCTCCTGACTGCCAGTGCAGCCTGATATTCTAGCATACAAGTCTGATCTCCTTGCAAAACCCTCCCTGGATCCCTCTGGCCCTTAACCAGGCTGTGCAGCCTGGCCGTGGCTCACGGCCTCAGCCTCAGCCCATTGGGAACCTCCCCACGTCCCACCCTAAGCTCCAGTTGCAGAGAACATGATTACAGTAAGCAGCTCCTGGAACTCCCTATGCTCTCTCTGGCTTTCTCGACTTTCCACATACTGCTCCCATGCGGAACTCTCCGTCCCCATCCTCAGTCATCTCGAGGCTAACCTCTCCATCCTGCAGATCTTAGCTAGATGTTAGCCAAGAAGTTAGATTTCAGCTAGATCTTAGCTTGCTGCTCCTGCCCTGTCTTCTCTCCACTACCCCTTCCCAAAGTGGGTTAGGCGCCTTCCCTGGGCTTCCCCACAACTTACTTTAGGGAAGTACCTGCCACCCCAGACTGTGAACTCCTTGAAGGCAGGCACCTTCACCACTGTCTTTTTCCCTTTTGCCTCCTCAATAACCAGCACAGTGTTGCACTGTGGATGCTCACTGGATATTTGTTGAGTGTGTACCCAGGTGGCGGGACCTCAGGGCGCTTTCACCCTTCTCCTGGAGCTGCCAGCTCCCTGGCCTCCTGCCCCTTCCCGTTGGAGCTCATACCCCATTTCACAGTCCACAAAGATTTGTTTCTGGGGTGGGGCTGGGACCCCTCCAGGTCTCTGCAGAGATGACCCACAGCCCCTAATCTCAGACAGGGACCCATTGCCAGCCATGTTTTCTTCCCCAACCTCTCTGAGATGCCACTGCTCCAGGGGCCAGAGAAGAGCCTGTCAAAATCCTAGGGCAGCAATTTGGTCTCCTTCAGTCTACAATAAAATATGTTCTGATCCAGCCCAGGAGGGCCCTAGCAGACCTGCCTGGGGGCTGCCCCTCAGTCCCAGCTCCCCCTGATTGCCCAGGTGTCCAGGCCCATACCTGAGCTCTCCCGCCCCAGGAGGCACTCTTTAAATATTTCCTGCACCCAAGACTGCAATTCCGGATCACCCTCCACGGCTGCGTCACTCGGGTAATAATAGGTGATGATCTCCGTCACATACCTGACCAGGGGACAGGGCCTCAGTTTGGATCCTCCTCCCCTCCCACTCCTCAGCCAGGCTTCTCCCACCTCCCCCAGGGTGCCCTGACCTCAGTTGGCCCCAGAGCTGCCCCAGGCCTGTGGGAGGGCAAGTCCTGTGGGGCAGAAGTGGAGAGGATGGCTTGGCAAGGTCAGAACACACCCAGAGCACTCCCTTATAAGGGATGGGCAAGGCCTACAGGCATCTCAGATCCCAGAAGCGATTTGGCCAGCAGAGGTGGGCTGGGGACCCAAGCAAGGAAGGGGCCTGCTGGGCTGAGGGTGTAGGTGTGATGGACACACAGACCCCAGGCCCCTTCCCCAAGGCCAAGCCCCTGGATGACACCAGACCCACACTCAGTTCTCTAGAAGCTCCCCACACCCTCTCCAACATCCCAGGTTGTCCACCCTAAGAGCCACCCACTGCTGTCCTGAGCTCACTTCTCCAGTGCATTCCACACCGCCAAGCTGTCATCGCGGTAGTAATATCCAGGCAGGTCCTGGACCCCACGCTCCACAAAGTCATTGGGGAGGTAGAGGCTGTCATAGGTGAGCTCCGACAGAGCCCGTACCATCACCCCAGCAAAGCCTTCCACGCCCAGGGACATGCCCTGTGAGGAAGGAGGCAGATCCTGGAGCCGGACAGGCATCCCTGGAACCCCTTCAGGTCCTCTAGGATCCCAGTAAGTGCCCCTGTAACCCCTGACCCAGCCCACCCCACCTCCAGGAACAATCCTGCTCTGGGCCAGCACACCAGCCCTGCCTCTGCTCCTTTCTAGACAGGAGAACCAACTTCATCCAGCTCCCTCCCTTCATGCCCCCTCATGATGACCCAAAGGCAAATGGGAAGTCCTCCTCTTCATCTAACTGAAAAGGCCAGAGGAAAACAAATGTCTCGTTGGGGTTGGGGGCAGAAGTCTTACCTTGGCAGAGAGCCCCCCCTCATTGAGGAGAACGGCCCGGCCAATGCTGTTGATCTGGACGGTGTATCGGGTATGGGGGATGAGGAGCTGTGGGGAGAGCAAGGAGGATGAAGAGAGAGGGCTGAAGTGGCCCCCAAAGGAGCTCAGCTCCCCATTTCTGTAACGTCAGATCTGCTCACTCTGGGAAGTCCCTATGCCAAGCCCTCTCTTGTGGTCCCCAGATGCCCCCCAGGCTGACTGGAGTCTCTCTGACTGCTCAGTGGGCCTGGGGGTTTTCGGAGGCCAGGTGAGGGCCATGATGCCTGGGGGAGGCCCCTTCTCCCAAGCCCATACCTTGTAGAGGGGGTGGCACATGGGCAGGTTCCTCAGCAAGGCCAGGCAGAAGGCCTCAGCAATGAGGTGTGTCTCCAGCAGGTGGGCGATGGCCTCGTGGCTGTAGAACTCCGCATAGCGTACCCACGTCTTGGCTAGCAGCCAGTCCCACTCAGAATCACTGGGCAGGAAGATGGGGCAATCTGGCCCAGGGGTCTGGCTGAGCTAGGTGTGGTGAAAGAGAAAGGGTTGGGTGAGGGCAGAGACCCACACACATAAAGGCCCCACCGCAGGAAGGAGGCAGAAGGGAGTATGAGAAGGTGAAAACACTCCTAAGCTCCGGTCCCACTGGTCCCCTGAGCACCCCTGGGCCTTTCCTCCCTCCCCACATTTGATCTTGCTGTTCCTTCTGCTCAACTGCAGTACCTTCCTCTTGCCCCTGTCTCTACCTGGCAGCTCCCACTTATTCTTCAAGAACCATCTCACAAGCTGCCTTCTCTGGCAAGACTTCCTTACTTCAGCCACACCTCCACCACATTCAGGTGCGCAGGTTGTGCACTGCACAAGGATTCCTAGCCCCTCAGGGGGCAGGCAGATCACTGAAATCAGCCTACGCTATTCCATTAAGGAGCCAGGAGCATCAGGCTCTGGGGCTCTGGCCCATCCCCCCAGAGGGAGCCTCTTTCTAACTTGCACATGACGCTTGGGGGGACCTCTGGGAAGGAAACACCCAGTTCCTTCCTCTGCCAGACCAGATTCCCAAGGCAGAGGCTAAGTCTAATTATCTCAGTATTTCCAGTAGGGACCTGACCCCCTTCAGGGATTGGTTTTCCAGGTGGATGGATGGATGAAGTCAAAGAGACAAGCACACCCCACAGACACATATACATGCACACACTCACAGATGCACACACATAGGGGCATACAAGTACAGCTGGCCCTCCGTATCCATGGGTTCCACACCAGTGGATTCCACCAGCAACAGATGGAAAATATTCTGGGAGAAAAAGTGTCTCTACTGAACGTGTACAGACTTTTTTTCCTTGTCATTCCCTAAACAATACAGTGTAACAACTATCTACATAGCATTTACATTGTATTGTATTGGGTACTATAAGAAATCCAGAAAGGATCTATTTTATTTCATTTTATTTATTTATTTATTTATTTATTTATTTATTTATTTATTTATTTTTGAGAAGGAGTCTTGCTCTGTCACCAGGCTGGAGTGCAGTGGCACGATCTCTGCTCACTGCAACCTCTGCCTCCTGGGTTCAAGAGATTCTCCTGCCTCAGCCTCCTGAATATCTGGGACTACAGGCGCCGCCCCCGACCATGCCCAGCTAATTTTTGTAGTTTTAGTAAAGATGGGGTTTCCCCATGTTGGCCAAGCTGGTCTTGAGCTCCTGACCTCAGGTAATCTGCCCACCTCGGCCTCCCAAAGTGCTGGGGATTACAGGCGTGAGCCACCACACCGGGCCTAGAGAGCGGGCCTAGAGAGGATTGAAAATACACAAGAGGGCCGGGCGAGGTGGCTCACGCCTGTAGTCCCAGCACTTTGGGAGGCTGAGGCGGGAGAATCGCTTGAGCCCAGGAGTGCAACATGGAAGAAAGCGTAGCGCTCCTTGTGTACACGCAGCAGCAAGAGCTCACCCAGCTCCGCTGAGCAGCGCACTTTGTACTTCTGTACCTCAGGGGACCAAGACAGCAAGCAGGTGAGAGGCGGGGAACTGCCAAGGCGGTCCTTGAGCCTTGCAAGGTGCATCTCCACCTAAGCCTATTCGGGCATACAAACCTGAGCTGCTCCCAGCCCATACCGGGCTTTTGTATGAACTAGAAAAATGTGCCCAGGCTGGACGCGGTGGCTCACGCCTGTGATCCCAACACACAAGAAGATGTGTGTAAGTTATATGTAAATACTGGGACTTTTTTTTTTTTTTTTTTTTTGAGATGGAGTCTCGCTCTGTCGCCCAGAGCGACATGCAGTGGCATGATCTAGGCTCACTGCAAGCTCCGCTTCCTGGGTTCACGCCATTTTCCTGCCTCAGCCTCCCGAGTAGCTGGGACTACAGGCGCCCGCCACCACGCCCGGCTAAATTTTTGTATTTTTAGTAGAGACGGGGTTTCACCGTGTTAGCCAGGATGGTCTCGATCTCCTGACCTCGTGATCCGCCCGCCTCGGCCTCCCAAAGTGCTGGGATTACAGGCGTGAGCCACCGCGTCCGGCAATACTGGGACATTTTATATAAGAAACTTGAGCATCTGCAGATTTTGGCATCCCGGGGAGGTCCTGGAACCAATCTCTCAAGGATAACGAGAGACGGCTGAATACATGCAGGTCCACACGCTCACATAAGCGCGCGCACACTCGGAGGAGCATTCGCGCACACAGAGGCTCAGCGGCAGCGCCGCCTGCAGCCCAGGCACCTGGATGGCGATGGGCATCATCTTGCCCTCGGGTCCAAAGTGCAGCAGGCAGAGGGGGGCGCAGTGGTGCTGCTTCCGGCCGCTGAGCTCCACGGTGGGGATGCCCTCCATGATGCGGTAGTCGGCCAGGTAAATGTTCCCCTTCTGGAGGGGAGCCGCGATGGGTGGCAAGTAGGCACCCACACGGGAAGCCCGTGACCCGCGCCGCAGGTGCACAGGGCGCTGGCGACTAGGGGCAGGGGTGGGACGGGGACAGGGACGCGGGGTGCGGGCTTGCCTGGGACTGGCGCGGGCGCCGGAGGTGGGGAGAGACGGGGATGCCCGCGAGGGAGGCCGGGAGGAGGGCCGGGGTCTCCGCCGGAGCGGGCCTCACCTCCAGCTCCGCTTGCAAGCACGTTCCCTCGCCCAGGAACGGAGCCACCATGTCGTCTGTGACGGGGAACTTGTCTGGGATCCGCGTGCAGCGGCGGATCAGGCCGGGGTTGACGCCGTTGAGGTACTGGTACCCAAAGAAGGTGTCCTCTGCCCAGTGCTCGGCCACGTACTCTGCGAGGACGGCGCGAGGGCGTCACAAGGAGGCCCGGCCCCCCTCGGGGACGGAGAGGCATGGGACAGAAGAAGACTATGGGCACCGAGAGGAGTCGGGGAGGAAAACGAGGCCCCCAGCCTGGCGCTGAGCGGCCGGAGGAGCCCGGTGCGACATTTTCCAAGAAGCCGCCAGAGGGCGCGCGCGCGCCTCGCTGCCTCTCCCGTCCCACTGCCCCGAAGTCGGGGGCCTGCCTAGCACGCCGGAGACCGCCTGGCTCCCCCTGCTCGATCCGGGACGCCCCATTCCATACCGGAGACGACAGATTTCTTGCCAGGGAAAATTTTCCTAATGTCCTTCAGCCTCTTCCACGAATGTTTGCAGTCCAACAGGCCGCGGACTTTGAAAGCCAGTGCCCTAGGAGATGGGATTCCAGGAAGAGGCCTTCAGAGGGGCTGCCAAGCGCCGGCTGGGGCAGGTGGCGGGGCCGCCCCATCCACTTAGGTCTCTGGGTCTCAGGGTCTGTGCGTCGCAAAGTCTCTGGGTCCCATGTCTCAAGATCTTTGCATCTCTAGGTCTCTGGGATCATGTCTCAGGTTTTCTGGGTCTGCGTTTCAGCTCCCTCTGCCTTCCTGGCCATTCCAACCTCTGGGGCTGTCTTGGAGGCCGCCAAGGTTGGGGGAGAGGGAAAGTTCTTGCAGGAGCCCTCGTTCTCCCGTCACTCACACGGACTCACATGGGCCCCAGGCGGACGAAGAAGGAGGCCGTCTTGAGGAAGGAGTAGCGGAGATTTAAGTTCAGGAACTTGGTGGCCTTAAAGTTGATGAGAATTGGGAATCCCGGAATATAGCCATTCCACCTGTGGGGAGAAGCGCAGGGCAACTGGGATCCAGGGGGCGGGGAGGAGGCAGGCGCCCAGGGGAAAACCATGGGCGGGGCCCAGCACAGCTTCGGGTCCTTACTCAGGCCGGTTGGGGTTGCGATGCCTCCGCACCGGAGGGCGGTAACTGGGAATGTGCACATAGCTGGGCAGGCCAGGAAGAAAGACTCGCCAGCTGCAAGGGAAACCGAGATGTCACCCTCATGCCCGTGCACCACCCCAGGGCAAAGGGCCAGAGCCATCACTGCCCCCCACCTCCCTGGACCCCTGCCGGGCGCCCAGACTCTGCCACCCGCCCCCTCACTGGTAGAAGTCCTGCTTGGCTCTGATCTCCTCTTTTCTGTGCTCCAGGAGGACGGGGAGCGAGTCATCTGCTGTTGTCTTTCCTGTAGGGAGACCAAGGAGAGGACTCAAGGGCTGACCCTTGCCCCTGCCCACTTCAGGAAGCAGGAGTTCAGCTTCTGTGCCCCAGGTCGTCTCTGGGGGGGCCCATGACCAAGGAGTGGGAAGGCTCACCTTGGGAGAGTGAAGGTGCGTCCTGTCCGGAAATATCAGATAAAAGAATCACGGACCCACCCTCTTTCCTCTTGCTCTACTGTCAAGCTAAGCTCTGCTGCTGCAAAAAGTCCCTCCTCTAGACCCACTGAAATATTTTTTATTTCTATAAATTCATGGAGTACAAGAGCAATGTTGTTACATGCATAGTGGCCAAGTTAGGGCTTTAGGTTACCCATCACCCAAATAAAGTATATTGTACCCATTAAGTAATTTCTCATCATCCACCCCCTCCCATCCTCTCACCCTTGAGAGTCTCCATTGTCTATTGTTTTGCTATGTCCATGTGTACACATTTTTTTTTTAATGGAGTCTCGTTCTTGTCACCCAGCCTGGAATGCAATGGCATGATCTCGGCTCACTGCAACCTCTGCCTCCTGGGTTCAAGCGATTCTGCTGCCTCAGTGTCCGGAGTAGGTGGGATTACAGGTGCCTGCCACCATGCCCGGCTACTTTTTGTATTTTTAGTAGACACGTGGTTTCGCCATGTTGTCCAGGGTGGTCTCGAACTCCTGACCTCAGGTCATCTGCACGCCTCTGCCTCCCAAAGTGCTGGGATTATAGGTGTGAGCCACCACACCTGGCCCATGTGTACACATTTTTTAACACCCATTTATGGGTGAGAACATTCGGTATTTGACTTTCTGGTCTGGCTTGTTTCACTTAAGATAATGACTTCTAGTTCCATCCATGTTGCTGCAAATGACATGATTTCATTTTTTTCATGACTGAATAGTATTCCACTGTGTATATATACCACATTTTCTTTATCCAGTCATCCATTAGGGCACTTAGGGTGATTCCATATCTTTGCTAGTGTGAATAGCGCCACAATAAATAAGGCATCTTTTTGATATGTTGATTTCTTTTCCTTTGGGTATATACCACTGAAATATTAATAACTGACAGTTGTTTAGCACTTACTAGGTCCCAGGTATTGGGAAAAGGGCTTGTGGGGTGCCTGTATAAACTGGCCATAAAAATATGTGACAGTAAGCTGTGGAAAGTCACAAAAGGCCTCTGAGGAGGAAAGCGTTCTTATCGCCATTATGTTCCCATGCTCTGAGCGTTAACCTGCTGTCTTATCTATAAACACTGTGTTCAAGGAGAAAGACACTCCTTTGAAACCTGGAAGGTGGACAGACGCGCAGGCTCCTAGTTAAGCCTGTTCCCACTAGCTGCTCTCCGATAAGTTAAAGATGTGCTGTTTGAGCACAAAGGAGATTCGTTTAAACCGCTATTGCTATAGATTACGCCTGTGACGCACTGCCTCCCTTTCAGTGTTTCACCCTGAACATCTGCTTCTTAGATCTAAGTGACTGTACTCAATAAATAGTGTGGAGACCAGAACTCTGGGCCTTTTGCAGCCTCCATTTTGCAACTGCCTCCCTGGCCCCCACTCTTTTTGCACTCTTAACCTGTCTCTTCTCATTCCTTCGTCACCACCGGACTTTGGGTACCCTACAGGTGGTGTTGAGGCTGGTCCCCAACACCAGGCACTTTGTAGACACTTTACTTTTATTAATCTAAGCCTAAGAAGCACCCTATGAGGCAGGTGACTATTACTATAGGCTGGTGACCCCTTCGTCACAACTGCAAAGTACAGAAAGCTGTGGAAATCAAGTTTGTCTGTTTGTTCCACAACAAATTCATTGGTTGACAAAGCCTGCTGTGAATCTCCCTGAGGCTATATACAATCTTTATTTAACTCACTGGGTCTAACTATTCATAGTTTTTACTGGGAAGTGTTAGTATATTTGATTGGGGTGCCCTGTGGTAGATATAGCACATAATATATGGGGTATGTGTGTGATATAGATTTATAGATGAAGATATATATGTATACATATACATATTTTATATAAACATACACACATGTGTACAGATACATGTGTATGTAGCTTCTCAATAAAATCCGAATTTCAAAGCACCCCTGGAATCAACAGTTTCAGCTAAAGGACTGTATCCCCATGCCCATTTTACAAGGAGAAACAGTCGCTATTATGTATTACGTGGGGACAAGGCTGGATTTGCCCCGTAGTGGGCTGCTTCTGACCACCAACAGTTGTTAAGCCTTTTAAAATTCTGTTCAGGCCAGGTGCGGTGGTTCACGCCTGTAATCCCAGCACTTTGGGCGGCCAAGGCAGGTGGATCATGAGGTCAGGAATTCAAGACCAGCCTGACCAACATGATGAAACCCCATCTCCACTAAAAATACAAAAATTAGCTGGGTGTGGTGTTGCATGCCTGTAATCCCAGCTACTCTGGAGGCTGAAGCAGGAAAATCACTTGAACCCAGGAAGCAGAGGTTACAATGAGCTGAGATCATGCCACTGCACTCCAGCCTGGGTGACGAAGCGAGACTCTGTCTCAAAAGAAAAAACAAAAACAAAACAAAAAAAAACAACTCCGTTCAGATGTCATCTTATTGGATTCTCACATCCACCCTATGAAGTAGGTTCTGTTGTTATCTCCATTTTACAGATGAGGGAACCAAGGCTTAGAAGAATTTGGAAATGTGGCCGGGTGCGGTGGCTCACACCTGTAATCCCAGCACTTTGGGAGGCCAAGGCAGGCAGATCACAAGGTCAGGAGATCGAAACCATCCTGGCTAACACGGTGAAACCCCATCTGTACTAAAAATACAAAAAATTAGCCGGGCGTGGTGGCACTCGCCTGTAGTCCCAGCTACTCAGGAGGCTGAGGCAGGAGAATCACTTGAACCTGGAAGGTGGAGGTTGCAGTGAGCCGAGATTGCGCCACTGCACTCCAGGGCGACAGAGCGAGACTCCATCTCAAAAAAAAAAATTTGAAAATATGCCCAAATGTCCAGCTAGTCAGTGGAAGAACTGAGACCTAAGTCCAGGTCCGTCTTTCTCCAGCACCCTGGCTGGTGGTCCCCAGGCTGGCCTGTGCCTACCGCTGCAGCCCATCATTTCCCCTCAAGTCCCTTACCTCACCACCCTCTCCCTCCTCCACCTGCCTCAGCTCATGTTGTATTCTGGATGAACAGTGCTCCCTGGAGTTGTGCAACCCAGAGACCTAGCTCGTTTTCATCCCCAGGGCGGAAGACTCACTCCTTTGAGGGCCCTATGGGTGACTCAAGTCTCCCTGTCCTGTTGCGTGGCAGCGGCCCCACCCAACCCCATTCCTGCCTGGCCACCAGCATCACCCTGCCTGTCCCCTGCTTCCATGTCACCCAGACCTGTCACTGCAGGAAGATGCTCTGTGTCCCCAGTGAGACCCTCCCCTTGGCATGCTCACCATCTCCCAGGCTTTCCTCGCCTCTCCTTTCCCCAGCTCAGGCCCTGTTCCCCAATCCTGGGGGAAGATTCCAGCACAGGGCAATGAGAAACGGAAGAGAGGTAGTCAGCTGCAGGGAGGATGGGGCTTCGGGCCCTGGGTGTCCTCAGCTCAGCCTTTCCCTCCCATTCGCCTCAAGGGAAGCCAACAGACACTCAGGTGGTGGAACTGGGAGATAAGAGAGGACAGGCCCCCAGTCCTCATGCAGCACCACAAATTAGGAAGCTGACCCCAGCCCACCACACAAGGGGCTCTGGCAGGGGTGGGTGCAAGGAGCTCAGCCACTCCGGTCCTATGTCTCTCCCATGGGAGTAACCAAGCAAGTGGAAAACCCACTGGGCAGCCTTGGCCAGCCTTAACCTTGGAGAAACCCTGACAGTCTATCTGAATAACAGGGCCCCTATTAGATAGATCCTTACTGGATTAAGGGGGGCCTTTTGGAGTAACAGTGCATCCTGTTAGAGAAATATGGTGTCCTGTTGGGAAAATAGGGAGTCCTTTGGAGCAATAGAACATCCCATCAGTCTAAAAAATGCTCAATTAGAAAACTGGGGCTCATGCCTGTAATGCCAGCACTTTGGGAGGCTGAGGCAGGCAGATCACCTGAGTTCAGGAGTTTGAGACCAGCCTGGCCAACAAAGTGAAACCCCATCTCTACTAAAAATGCAAAAACTAGCATCAGGAGGCTGAGGCAGGAGAATCGCTTGAACCTGGGAGGTGGAGGTTGCAGTGAGCCGAGATCGTGCCATTGCACTCCAGCCTGGGCAACAAGAGTGAAACTCCGTCTCAAAAAAAGAAAGCCAGGGCGTCATAATTATAAGACCGCAGCACCACGGAGACCTGTTGAACTCAAAGGGCTTCTAAATGGGATAGCAAGGTGCTGGTTGGAATAATGGGGCATCCTGTTATAGTAACAGAATCCTGCTGGAGTAACAGGGCGTCTTTCTGGAGCGCATATGATTGGCATCATAAATAGGCCTCCTGTGAGAGTCCTGAGCCTGTACTTAGCATCACAAGGGGTATTTTTAACGTGGCCGGGCATCTTATAGGAGTCAGGGAGGACTGGAGAGGTAGCGGGGAGCGCACTCTGGGAATGCTGTCTGCTGCCAGATGGGGATGCTGAGGGTAGCTGCTGGGCCTCAGGCACCTCTCTTCCTCCAATGTGCAGCCCCAAGCTGAGCTCAGGGCAGCAGCACTGACTGAGGGAAATGTGTGACAGTGGCAGGAGAGCCCAGGAGTCCCTGGTGGGGCTGGGCCCCCCTCTGGCTTGATGGGAGCCTGGGTGCCATGCCAGGGTAGCAGGCTGGAGCTAGAGGCCTCACGGCCATAGGATGGAGCAGGGTGATGAGGGCTTACCTGTGGCCTCCCGGAGTGCCAGGGTCTCGTAGCCATCCATCCACTGGTAGGCGGGGAAGTGGTAGATACGGCCGTTGGGGGCACAGATCTGCACATAGTTGCAGTACCAAGGGTCCTTGGGGAAGAAGGCGTACCGCTCTTTGTGCAGGCGGATGATGATGAGCTCACCCAGGTCCTGAGGGCACTGCACGGTGTACTGGCCCACCTAGGCAGGATGCAAGCCTGGCTGAGTGGGCAGGACTTCACCCCGGCTCCCAGGCCGCCCACCCCTCTGGCCCCTCACCTAGGCCCTGCTCATGCTGCGCAATGCTCACCTCCCTGGACTGACGGAGGGACAGGATATTGACCTGATCATTGAGCTTCCTTCTGACTTCTCCAGCTTGGGGGTCTCCTACTGGATTCCTCTACCCAGGGCTATGTAGGACTCCAGCCCCTCCTTCTCTCCATCCCCAGCTCCTGTCTTCTCCCACTCCCCTCTCCAGGCACCTGAGGTTGCAGGAACCCTTCAGACCCCTGGGGACTTGGGTACCACTCTACAGTTTTCGAGTGGGGAGAGGCCCAGCCAGCCCCTTCTCCCATTCATCAATGAAGATGCAGATATTCAGAATGGCCACATAGATAGAGTGACCTATTAAGGTCGCCTAGCAGCAGGTGGCTGGGTCTGACTGAAAATCAGGTCTGAGGACCCGCAAAGCGTGCCTTCCACTGGACAGGCTGGTCTGATGCCATTTTAAGTCACAGAGAATCCAGTGCAAATGTGAGACAGTTAGGAGGCAGCTGAATTAGGAAGAGTGACTGAGAATGGAAGAGAGAGGGATGCGGGAGAGGGGGTAAGACAGAAAGGGGAGGAGAGCAAAGGGGAAGGAAAGCAGGTGGAAAGGATTGAGAAAAGAGAGATGCAGGATAGGCAGAGACAGGGAGAGAGGGCTGAGGAAGAGGGAGAGAGAAGAAAAGGATGGGGAGGGAGATGAGGAATGCCTGAAAGGGTTAGAGATGAAGGAGCAGGATGGAGAAGGATGGCCCAGAGATCTGGGACATGGGCGAGGGGCTGGAAGCCAGCTCTGGACAAGGCGTGTAGAGCCACTGGGGAGCCCACTGCCTTCGGAGCTGTGCCTCAGCTCTCCAGCCTCTCCTCGCCAAGCTCAGCTCACCTGGCTCCCCCTGCGCACCTTCACCCCTCCCGGGGCCACAAAGACACACAGACACACACAGACACACACAGACACACACACACACACACACAGACACACACACACACACACACACACACACACTCTTACCGCCCCAGTTGCAAAGTCTCTCCCAAAGTGGTTCAGCAGCTGCTTATGGCTCTCTCCTTGTGTCCCCACAATGGTCAGTGAGATGGAGTCCCGTGTTCCCGACAAGAGGTCGGTGCCTGTGGCCACCCTGACTTTGTAGGTGGCCATGGCTGCTCTTCAGGAGGCAAGAGGGGCACTCAGTCCCAGACACCGTGGAGGGGCCACACGAAGGCCCAAGGCAGGCAAGAGAAGCCAGGCACAGAGTGGAGTGGACAGGGCTGGCCTCCGAGGTGCAGTGGTGAGGTGGCGAGGTGGGGTGACTAGGCCTGCCAGCCAAATTCTGGAAAAGCTGCTGCCCTTGGTGGCCGGGGTGGGTGCCGGGCAGGCCCAGGCGGAGCCCAGCTGGTGGTGAGTGAGCAGGTGTCTGGGCTCCAAGCCTTCTGGGAGCTGGTGGGGAGGAAGAGCAGGCAGGGCACTGGGCCTGCCTCTGAAAGGGCGGATAGAAGATGCCGTGGATGAAGGCGCCTTCAGGGTGGGGGAGCCAGTCCAGCCTGAGCCAGGGCCCTAGGGAAGTTGCGGGAGGGGGCAGGGTGTGGTCCCCAGATCTTTATCAGACTAATAAGCTCCTTCCTCCTGCCAGTCCCCATTGGCTACAGTGCCAGGCACCCCTACTAAGCAGGGCCATGGGCAGTGAGTGACTTGCATTGGTTCTGAGGCCACTGGTGGGCGGGGGAGGGGAGGGGGAGGGGCACTAAGTGGCAGCGCAGCTGGCCAGCCTCCAGGCCATTCCTCTCTGGGAAATGGGACAGGTAGTGGCCACAGTGAGAAAGCTGGCCTGTCCTTCTGCCCCAGGGCCCAGAGTCTGTGACTGGAAGGGTGGGAGGTGTTGAAGCTAGGGCTCGGGGACCACATGGGTGCCCAAAGGCCTGAAGATGCTGCGGGGAGGAACGATCAGGGTAGGAGAAGGGGATCTGTTGCTTCCTGTGGGGCCAGGATCCACTGGTGAGGGATTGGAGTTGGATATAAAATCAGAAGCCCAAAAAAAAAAAAAAAAAAACTAAATTAGAAGACAGAGTGAAATCTGGGGCATAAGAATTAAGTTAAATAGCTGGGCGTGGTGGCTCACGCCTGTAATCCCAGCACTTTAGAAAGCCAAGGCAGGTGGGTCACCTGAGCTCAAGAGTTCGAGACCAGCCTGGCCAACATGGTGAAACCTTGTCTCTACTAAAAATACAAAAATTAGCCAGGCGTGGTGGCATGCGCCTGTAGTCCCAGCTACTTGGGAGGCTGAGGCAGGAGAATCGCTTGAACTCAGGAGGCGGAAGTTGCAGTGAGTTGAGATCGTGCCACCGCACTCCAGCCTGGGCAACAGAGCAAGACTCCGTCTCCAAAAAAAAAAGACAAAAGAATTAAGTTAAATAATGGATTAATATGATCAATATTTTGTGGTATAATCATAAAATAGAATTCTACCCAGGAATAAAAAGAATGAACTGCAATGCGGATGAGTCTCACAAAGATGATACTGAGCAAAAAGAGCCAGACATTAAAGGGGATACGTTCTGTTATCCATTGATAGGAACTTCCAGAACCAGCAAAACTGAGCAATTCTCAGACAACCTCTACTGGTGAGTATCCCTGGCAGAGGGAGGCCATATAGGCTGCTGGAGGTGTTCTTATCTTGATCTGAGGGGCGTCTAGGGTACTTCATTCATTTCATTATGTGTTATCCTTTAATTTCATAAAGTACATACCCTCACTTCCCTCCCAAAAAAGAATGAAGCTAGGAAGAGGGCTGGAGGCAGGGCTGAGCTCCAGTGGAACTGTGTTTGTTGGGAACCAGGTCGTTCCTCCCTCAGATATGTAGTGAGCACGGTGCACGGCGTTCTAGGCACTGCAGAGGCAGAGAAGAAATGAAACATACATGGAGCTTACGGAATAGCTGGGAAAGAAGTGAAAGAAACAGTAAACAAGAATTTGTTCACTATAATTTTGGATACTAAGTGCTCTGAAGAAAATAAGCGTGGGAGGTTGGGATTGGGAACTAGTTGCTGATAGAATCACAGAAGTCAGAGCCGCAGGATAGGGAGAAGGTGTTAGGAGTAAGGTGAAGAGCATTATGAGAGAGTCAGAGATAGACTCTCCAAAGATAGGATTTGGGACCCAGGGAGAGTGAGGAGGCAGGCACGTTCCTATTCCCTTTTTCTGGACCTGTCCTCTTTCCTTTCACCTCCGAGGAGCAGCTTCTGTCAACCAGGAAGCATAGCCCTGCTTTCCTCCCTGATGGCACGCTTCCATCACCATCGAAGGAAGGTCATTCAATGCCCAGGCCAAGTTAGGGTCAGAGGGGGCTGGGATTGTGAGATGAAGAGAAGGTTCCAGTAGGTTCCAGACTGGATGTGGAATGGGGTCGAAACTGCAATTCAGGTTTAGGTTAGAGACACAGATGTGGCTGGAGTTGGGGATTGAAATGATCTTTTCCAGACCCAAATCTGTTCACATCACTCTCTATGTTCCCTCCTCCCAACCCTGATCAAGCCTGGCAGTGGCTCCTCTTTACCTTTGGGACAGTGACACCATCCCCTCCCGTGGCCCCCACGGCCTGCCTGATTGGCTTCACCCCTCACATTCCCCTTTGCTCTCTTCTGTCTGGGACCACGTGCCTTTCATTCATTCATCAACAGACACTGGCCGAACCCCTACTGTGTGTTCAGCGCTGTGTCAGGTCCTGAAAATACAATGCGATCAAAGCAAACCCCTGCACCCATGGAGCTTGCCTTCAAGTGAGGGAAGCAGACAATATTACCTAGTAACCAAATACATTAAATAGTATGTTAAATAGTGATAAGTGCTGAAGAGAAAAGAGAGAACAGGGAAGGATAATATAAAAAATAGAGGAGTGCCGGGCATGGTGGCTCATGCCTGTAATCCCAGCACTTTGGGAGGCTGAGGTGGGCGGATCACCTGAGGTCAGGAGTTCGGGACCAGCCTGACCAACATGGAGTAACCCCGTCTCTACTAAAAATAAAAATTAGCCGGGCATGGTGGCGCATGCCTGTAATCCCAGCTACTCGGGGGCTGAGGCAGGAGAATAGCTTGAACCCAGGAAGCAGAGGTTGCAGTGAGCCAAGGTCATGCCATTGCTATCAAGCCTGGGCAACAAAAGCGAAAATCCATCTCAGAAAAAAGAAAAGGAGGATATTTTAGATACAGAGTGGCCAAGGAGGGCTCCTTGGGAAGAAGACTTTTGAGTAAAGACCTGAAGGAAGTGAAGTCAGCTCGTCACCATCCCAGGGCCTTGGCACATGCTGTTCCCTCTCTACCTCTCAAACTGAGGTCACGTTTCCTCTTCCTCCTGATCTTAGCTCAATAATTGCTTTTTCCAGGAAAGCCAAATTTCACTATACATGGCTCTCACAGCACTATAGCTAACATCTTTGATTGATGTCTGTTTTCTCTAATAAATTAGTCCATACTTTTTTTTGGTTTTGTCCCCATCTCCTGGTGTCATACTTGGTACCTGGGAGACACCGAAAACATAGTTGAATGGGTTAATGACAAGGACAAGGTCAGGGCTGGGGATTGAATCGATGATGGCTTTGGAGTTATGGTGAAGATCCGAAGAGAGCTGACTTGGGCTCAGGGTGAGAGAAGGGGCAAGGCGTGGTGTAGGGGAGGGAAAGGGGTTGGGTGGGGAGGGAGGGAGGAGAGGGGAGAAGGCTGAGGATGAGGGTTGTGCCCAGCTCTGGGTGGCAGGGCTGGCTGTCCTGGGCTGCAGACAGAAGCCGTCCAGCTGGATCTCCCCCCTGGGATCTCCCTCCTCAACCACCTCGATGACTCTTGGAGGATGCTGGGAGCCTGAAGATGCAAATCTTAAGATGCAAATTCCATGCAAATTCTCCCAGCTTCCTCTTTCTAATCTCTCCCCTTTGCCCTGTGTCCCCAGGGGGCTGCTGAGGCTTGGTGAGAAGCAGGGCAGTGGACTGGGCAAACTGAGTCATATCCTGCTACCAATAGGTCTCCTCCAACCCAAATCCCAGGGTGGCCCTGGGTTTGCTCAGGGCTCCAGTGTGGAGTGGGAATTAGGTTCCTGAGGGAGACGGAGATGGAGGCAGGGATGCTGAGGATGTCAATGTGGCTGGGGCAGGGACAGGGACGGGATCAGGCATGAGGATGTAGATGGGGCACTCCCCAGCTATGACCAAAACGTAGACGCGTGACTCTTGATAGGTGCTCATTGGGCTGAAGAACTGGTTCTCCTGGACCAGGGGCGGGAGCCAGTGAGGAGGAGAGGTTTCTGGGAAGGATTCACACTCACTGGGGTTGCTAACTAGGGGCCATCCACACAGGAAGCTGAGTTCTCACTGCTGGGGTATCCCCCGTGCCTGACCCCACCCCAAGCCCTGCAAGGCAAGGAGCAACTAACTCCTGGGGACCCACTCTCCTAAGACACAGAGAAAGAAAAATCAAATCACGCCACTCCCCTGCTTAAAGTTCACCAGAGCTTAAAATGGGGTTGTCCGTAGAAATGAATCCAAGGGCCAGGCGCGGTGGCTCATGCCCATAATCCCAGCACTTTGGGAGGCCAACACAGGCGGATCATGAGGTCGGGAGTTCAAGACCAGCCTGACCAACATGGTAAAACCCCGTCTCTACTAAAAATACAAAAATTAGCCGGGCGTTGTGGCACGCGCCTGTAATCCCAGCTATTCAGGAGGCTGAGACGGGAGAATCGCTTGAACAGGGGAGGTGGAGATTGCAGTAAGCCAAGATAGCGCCACTGCACTCCAGCCTGGGCAATAGAGAGAGACTCCGTCTCAAAAAAAAAAAAAAAGAAAGAAAGAAAGAAAGAAAAGAGACGAATCCAAGGACTTATCATGTCTACAAGACCATGCCTTCCCGACACCTTTTTCCAGCCACTCTGGCCTTCTTGCTGTACCCAGAACATGTGTCCTTCAGGACCCTTGCATTTGCCATTCCTGGGTTTGTAATACCCTTCCCCCAAGCTGTTCAAGCTGTTTCAACCAAGCTGTTCAAGCTGTTTCAAGAGTGGTTTTGTTTGTTTGTTTGTTTGTTTGTTTGTTTTGAGACGGTGTCTCACTCTGTCACCTAGGCTGGAGTGCAGTGGTGCAATCTCAGCTCACTGCAACCTCCACCTCTCAGGCTCAAGCGATCCTCCCACCTTGGTCTCCCGAGTAGCTGGGACCACAGGCGTAGTCCACCTGGCTAATTTTTTGTATCTTTTGGTAGAGATGGGATTTTGCCACGTGGCCGGGACTGGTCTCAAACTCCTGAGCTCAAGCGATTTGCCTGTCTCAGCCTCCCAAAGTGCTGGGATTACAGGAGTGAGCCACCGCACCCGACCCTAAGCGTGTGTTGTTCATGTCATCCAGGTCTCAACTCTAGTGTCACCTCCTCAGAGTCCCTCCCTGACCACCGTCCCTCATGTTTCCCCGCCCTCCGCCCTCCATCATGCTACCCTGCCACCTGGTTGTATCTCCAACTGCACTTGCCACCGCCCAAAAGGATCTTTATCTGTTTATTGATGCGTTTATTGTCTGTCTCTCCAGCACCCATAAGAAGGGTGAAAGAAGGGGTTGTGCCTGGGGAGCTCACAGCTGCTCTCCCAAAATCTAGAACAGCATCTAGGCAGACAAGAGCCACGAAGCAAAGCGATGCTAGGATGTCAACGCTGGAAAGGGCTTTTCAGGTCTTCTCGTCCCACTCATGTATCTGACAGGTTGGGACCACTGAGGCCGAGGGACTTGCTCAAGATCAGCTGGGGAAGGAGGCTGGTGTGCTTCCCATTATACCAGTTGACCTTTTAGACTGACCAAAAAACAGTGGAGGGCAGAGTGTAAGCTGAGGGGAGCTCCTGACCTCACAGGGCTCCAGAAACTTGATGTGAGCCTCCTCCCCATGTCCTGTCCCCAGAGTCAGGGCAGGACATCCTAAGTGTACCAGGTGTGTCTGCCCAATAAATCTCTTTCCAAGCTGCCTTTCTGGAAAACCAGATTCCAATGACCCGCCCTGGTCCCTCCCTCTCCGGCTCAGGGGCATTTTTCAGGATAGGCATGCCTACTAATGCTGCCTTTGTGGAGGCCCAAGGAGTGTTCATCCTCTTGGGGGACAGGGTGCCTGAGCATGCCCATGCCCTTTTCACTGCTGCTTCCAACCCCAGGGTCAAAGGGGCCTGCACTGCGCACCCAACAATAATACTGGCAGCTGTCACTTACTGAGGAGCTATCACGTCTCTGTCATTGAATCAGATCCTTTGCATACACCATTTTAAAATATGAAACAGGCCAGGCGCGGTGGCTCACGCCTATAATCCCAGCACTTTGGGAGGCCGAGGTGGGTGGATCGCCTGAGGTTGGGAGTTTGAGACCAGCCTGACCAACATGGAGAAACCCCGTCTCTACTAAAAATACAAAATTAGCCGGGGTGGTGTGGTGGTGCATGCCTGTAATCCCAGCTACTCGGGAGGCTGAGGCAGGAGAATCACTTGAACCCGGGAGGCGGAGGTTGCGGTGAGCCGAGATCGTGCCATTGTACTCCAGTCTGGGCAACAAGAGCGAAAATCCGTCTCAAAGAATAATAAATAAATAAATAAATAAATAAATAAATAAATAAATAAATAAATAAAACAAATACATAGCTCTATTTAAAATGCTTGGCAGCCAGGCGCAAGGTCAAAGGGGCCTGCACTGCGCACCTAGCCTCAGCCTCACCCTCACCCCTGGTGGCCACAAGGGGGCGCCCCTGAGTATTTCTTAGTCCTTTGATTTGTTCTACAGTGAACAAAACTGGTGATTTGGGATAAGTCCTTAGGTTGCAATCTGCATGTGAGATATCTGCAAACACACCTCTTTAGCACAGTGGTATGAGGATCCTCTTCTCCAAGGATCACAGATGCAGAAAGTGAAAATTCAACAGCCAAAGACAGCCTTCCCCAACACACACACAGACACACACACACACACACACGCGCGCGCGCGAGCAAAGGGAGAAGTGGTTTGGTTGACAACAGAGAAGATTCTTGGGCTGGGATGTAATGGGACAGTTGGCCGCCCCAGAATTTCAATATGCCAGGGCTTTGGGATGGCAATTTAGTTAGGGAGGAAATGTGGTTAGGCGTGGAGCTCTTCGTGGAGCTGCGGTTGTACTGAAAACACATGTTGTTTTCTTTTCTTTTCTTTTCTTTTCTTTGAGATGGAGTCTCTGTCACCAGGCTGGAGTGCAGTGGCACGATCTCGGCTCACTGCAATCTTCGCTTCCCAGGTTCAAGCAATTCTCCTGCCTCAGCGTCCGGAGTAGCTGGAACTACAGGCGCACACCACCACACCCAGCTAATTTTTGTATTTTTAGTAGAGACAGGGTTTCACCATGTTGGCCAGGATGGTCTCGCTCTCTTGACCTCATGATCCACCCGCCTCAGCCTCCCAAAGTGCTGGGATTACAGGCGTGAGCCACCGCGCCTGGCTGTATATTTCTTAGATGATTTAAGATATTTCTTAGATTCTTAGATGATTTCTTTGTTTTCTTAGACAATGGCAGCCCCAGCCAAGGCAGCCTGTGGATCCCCACTAACTCCAGGAACGAACACTGACCATGGTCTGCACTGGGGCTGAGACACACTGCAGCCCGCAAAGCCCCCAGCCACGTGAAGCTCTGGGTGGGTCGCCTATTACGTTGACACTAAAACCATCTGATCCCCCTACCACGGGCACCACAGGGATGGGGGAGCAGTTACCCTGTCATTGTCCAAAGACACTGTGATCCCGCCAGAGAGAGGCCATGACCAGGGTTGGGTCAGGCACAGAATTTGACTCAGGTGGCAGAGGAAGGAAGGAAGGTGGGCTGGATCTGAGGTCTGGGGAAGCAGAAAACCAGGGTGTTGGGCGGCTGTGGATTAAGAAGACCGGGGAGACTGACTTGAGGCTGCACAGATCTCTATGTTTAAGGGCTGTGGGGCTGGAAGGGAGAAAATCAGACTCCCCATATTACCAGCCATGTGGCCAGGATCAACTAGACTATACCACAGTAACAACCCCCAAATTCCAGTGGCTTCACCTGACAAGTTTATTTCTCACTCAGTCCATGTCTGGCTCAGTCAGCGGGGGCCTCTTCTACAGTCCCTTGGACACACAAGCAAGTGCCATCTCAACATGTGCTTCCGGAAGGGAGAGGCAGAGAGAAGGAAATCAGGGGTCTCCGTGTGGCCTGGAGACGATCCTCATCCCTTCTGCTCCCAACTCAACCAAAACTCATCCTGTGACTGTACCCATCCACAAGAGGGCCAGAGGCTGAGCCTTCCATGTGTCCAGGAGGAGAACTGGATTTCGGTGGCAACGTTAACAATTACCCAGACTCTGAGGCTTCACAAAATACTCACTATTCCACTTCTCAGTCCCCTGAATCCAGACATTCCCTCACCTCCTGATGATGCACTCTGGAAGGTGAGGGCAGGAATATATGGCTTGGCTGGATAGTGCGTTGAGCCGGGACACTTCTGTCTCCAGAATAGATGATCCACGGATCCACTGCTGCCCCTCACTGCAATCCCCTGGCACCCCCAACCTCACCCACCCATACACACACACACATCAAAGCAGCAAAACAAAATGAGAGCCAAATATTTTGGTTTTTATTGAACTCACTGGGCTCAAGGACAGAAAGAAAAAAATGGGATGAAAGGGAGTGGGATGAAAGGGGAGTTGGATGAAATCTTTGGAGAAAGACAGATCTCCACAAACACCCCAGGCCTGGGAACCTGTTCCTGAGAACAGCCGTTAGGGGTCCAGGCAAGCTGCCCTCCAATTCTTCCCCTCCCCTTAAAGGTGCTAGGGACAAAGGGGACCACATGTTAGACCCAGGCACACAGTCCTTCTGTGCCCAGTTTCCAGGCTTTTCCAGAGAAGGAAGCTGGGCTGGTGGCTCTAGGCTTGGAAGAAAGAGAACGTAGAAAGGCATGGTAGGAGAAGGAGTTTGGGGATTGGGGAGGATGAGGGAGAAAAGCTCAGAAACCCAAGCTGGGCATTCCAAGAGGCTGGAACAAGAGGCTGCCCCAAGTGGGGCAAGAAGTGAAGCGGTTCCTTCCTTTCGGAGGGGCTATTGTGCATTGGACTTTGGTCAGCGGCTTTTAACCTGGACGCTGCTGTGCTGGTCTCTCACAGCTCAGGGCCCAGTTTGTATGATGTCAGAGCCATCTTGGCTGCAAAAGTCTCCATGTGCAGAAGAGAAGGTTCAGGTGAACTGAGAACAGGGAGGATGGAAGGGTCTGGAGGACCTGAGGAACTGGTCCTCCTCATGCTTGGACCTTTCTTTCTTCTTGGGTGGTATTTGGGGGTGGTTAGATGGAGACGCTGTTCTCAATGAGGGGAGGGTCCAGGTAGGTGTAGGGCAGTGCCAGACCCTGGTTCCGCTCCTGGATGTCCCTTGAGATCTGGGCCAGGCGGCTCTGGAAGGCGGCGATGCTCCGCCTCGGGGCCTCCTCTGTGAAGTGCTCATCTGGGTAGGTGCCCAGGGGCCTCTGGGAGGACATCAGGTAAGAGGTCAGGATGACATTCAGATGGGATGGGGAATAACGGAGGACCACATGTAACAGCAAATCCAGTCAAGGTGGCTTCTAGTAGCACAACCCAGTTGCAGCCATTGTAAACACTTGCCCCAAACTGCCACCCCATGATCCTGACACGAGGCCCCCCAGCACCCAAACCCCAAACAGAGTAGGGGACAGACTGTGACGTAGGAGCCAGCCAACCCAAATTCAGTACTGCCTCTGCTGGCAAGCCTCTGCCTGTTACTTTGACTCTTTGAGACTCAATTCCTGCATCTGAAAATGGATGGGTTGAACTAGAAAAAAAAATTTTTGAGGCAAGGTCTCACTCTGTTGCCCAGGCTGGAGTACAGTGGTGTGATCATAGCCCACTGCAGCCTCAAACTCCTGGGCTCAAGTGATCCTCCCACCTTGGCCTCCCAAAGCACTAGAATTACAGGTGTGAGCCACCGTGCCTGGCCTAGACCTTTAAAGGTCCCTTTCATACCTGATCCAACTGCTCTGTGAACTAAAAGAACGAACCACACCTTTCATACAACCGAGATCAAAGTAAACACTGCCCAGGAAATATACCCAAGAATATAACAATTACTTCATAATTTCACAAAATTCAACTCCTAAAAACAACCAGCATCCTGGTTCTAAGGTACCTTCACAATCAACCATCGTGATGGAACTTTTGCCAACACAATCACCATCATCCTCCACTGCCACACTTTACAGCACAGCCAATCACTATCGAGAAATATCACAATGAGCTCCAGTCACTGCCATCCTGTGTACAGGACTGTCCCTCCCTCATGATCATATCACACAACCAGCTCATCACGACAACGCAGAGGTCCAGCCTCCTAACCAGCACACACTTCCCATTTACTAGAACCTTCATATAATTGTTGCCAATACTACTGATCTTTTTTTTTTTTTTTTTTGAGACAGAGTCTCGCACTGTCGCCCAGGTTGGAGTGCAGTGGCGCGATCTCGGCTCACTGCAAGCTCTACCTCCCGGGTTCACGCTATTCTCCTGCCTCAGCCTCCCGAGTAGCTGGGACTACAGGTGCCTGCCACCATGCCTGGCTAATTTTTTGTATTTTTAGTAGAGACAGGGTTTCACCGTATTAGCCAGGATGGTCTCGATCTCCTGACCTCGTGATCTGCCCGCCTCGGCCTCCCAAAGTGCTGGGATTACAGATGTGAGCCACCACGCCCAGCCAATACTACTGATCTTTAACAAATTCTTTTTCTCGTTTTGTTGCATTGGCGAAGCCCTCCAGATCAATGTTAAATAGCAGCAGTAATAGTGGGCATTGGGCATTATTTTCTTATCTCTGACTTTAATGAATAGACATCTATGGTCTCACCATAAATACAGTGTTTTTTGAAATATACTTTTGGTTTTTGTTTTTTTTTTTTTTTTTTTTTTGAGACGGAGTCTCGCTCTGTCACCCAGGCTGGAGTGCAGTGGCGCGATCTTGGCTCGCTGCAACCTCCGTCTCCCGGGATCAAGTGATTTCTCCTGCCTCAGCCTCCCGAGTAGCTGGGATTACAGGTAGCCACCACCATGCCTGGCTAATTTTCTTATTTTTAGGAGAGATGAGGTTTCACCATGTTGGCCAGGCTGGTCTTGAACTCCAAACCTCAGGTGATCCACCTGCCTCAGCCTCCCAAAGTGCTGAGATTACAGGCGTGAGCCACTACACCCAGCCTGAAATATACTTCTAATCAAAACTCCTTAAGGGGGTTTCATTTTACACTGAGTTTTTATTAGTAATGGCTGCTCACATTTATCAAATGCTTTTTCAGCACATATTGAGATAATTATATGGTATGCATCTTTATTGACGTAATGAACTATATTGCTAGATTTCATAAGGTTGAACCAACCTTTCATTCCTTTCATTCCTAGAATAAATTAGACTTTATCATGGTGTGTTATTGTTTTATTATTCACTATTGGCCTTCATTGGCTGATATATTTTTAAGATTGTTGTAGCTAAGTGGAATAAGTATATATATATTTTTTTCTTTTTTTGTTTAAACAGGGTCTCACTCTGTCACCCAGGCAGAAGTGTAGCGATGGGATCACAGCTTACCACAGCCTTGAACTCCCAAATTTAAGCAATCTTCCCACCTCAGCCACCCGAGTAGCTGGGATCACAGCCATACGCCATCATGCCCGGCTAGTTTTCTTTTTTTTTTTTTTTTTGGAGAGACAAGGTCTCACTATATTACTCAGGCTGGTCTTAAATCCTGGGCCCAAGCGGTCCTCTTGCCTCTGCTTCCCAAAGTGCTGGGATTACAGGCATGAGCCACTGCACCCGGCCTTATAATTTCATTTTCGTAATAACAGCTAACACGTAAGCACTGTACATGAACCATCGCAACCATACATCAACTCTGAAGACAGGTATTCTTATTATTCTCACTTTAAAGATAAGGAAATAAGGCTTAGAGAGGCCATTACATAACTAAAGTCATATGGGTGGTAGGTGTGGATCTGGGACTAGAGCCTTCCAATGAGACCCACTGCCCTTCTTAGTACTACCAGCCGGGCGCGGAGGCTCACGCCTGTAATCCCAGCACTTTGGAAGCCTGAGATGGGTGGATCACCTGAGGTCAGGAGTTCGAGACCAGCCTGACTAACATGGAGAAACCCCATCTCTACTAAAAGTACAAAATTAGCCAGGTGTGATGGTGCATGCCTGTAATCCCAGCTACTCAGGAGGCTGAGGCAGGAAAATTGCTTGAACCCGGGAGGCAGAGGTTGCACTGAGCCGAGACCGCGCCACTGCACTCTAGCCTGGGTGACGGAGTGAGACTCTGTCTCAAAAAAAAAAAAAAAGTAAAAAATCTTCTCTGCATTTGTGGTTATACGCCTTTCCCATTCCTAATGCTGTGTATTTATGTTCCCTTTCTTTCTCTTTTTTATTTTCCTCCTTGATTAGAATTGTCTAGGCCAGATGCAGTGGCTCACACCTATAATCCCAGCACATTGGGAGGCTAAGGCAGGAGGATCACTTTAGCCCAGGAGTTCAAGACCAGCCTGGGCAATATAACAAGACCCTGTCTCTACCAAAAATCAAAAAATTAGCCAGGCGTGGTGATGCCTGTGGCCTCAGCTACAGGAGAGGCTGGGGTGAGAGAATTTCTTGAGCCCAGGAGTTTGAGGATGCAGTGAGCCATGATCATGTCACTGCACTCCAGCCTGGGTGACCCTGTCTGGAGTTGACCAGGCTTTTTTTCAGACAACCTGACCCTGTCAAAAGAGAGAAAGAGAGAGAAAGAAAGAGAGGGAGGGAGGGAGAGGGGGGAGGGAGGGACGGAAGCAAAAAAAATAGTGCTGTAAGTGACAGTCTGCCACTTCTGGGCCTAGACTTGAAGAAATCTGAAAGCTTGTTTGCAATCTTGGAAGCCAGCCACCGTGCTATGAGGAAGTCCAGCTATCCTGCTGGGGAGAGACCCCTTGGAGAGTCCTGGGGGATAAGACAGCATATGGAGAGAGAGAAAAACCACACAGGTGCACTGAGGCCCCAGACATGTGAGCAAAGCCTTCTGGGAACTTCCAGCACAGCCCAGTCACCAGCTGATTGCATGCAAGTGTTTCACCCTAGCCAGTACCCTCTGGACTGCCCAGCCTAGCCCTGCCCAAATTTCTGATCCAGAGAATCTTAAGAAAAAAGAAATATGTCTGTAGTTTTTTTATTTTATTGTATTGTGGTTTTTTTTGAAATAACAAGTTTTATGTTTTTAAAATCAGATTGACATCTAATTTCTTTTTTTCTTTTCTTTCTTAAAGATGGGGTCTTGTTATGTGGCCCAGGCTGAAGTGCAGTGGCTATTCACAGGCATGGTCATGCACACTGCAGCCTTGAACTCCTAGCCTCTAGGAATCCTCTCTCTGCGGCCTCCTGAGTAGCTGGGACTACAGGCCTGTGCCATTGCACCTGGCTTAATACTTGATTTCTAAAACTGTAGTATAGCCATCAAAAAAACAGAACACACACACACACCAGAGAAAGAAAGAGAAAACACAGCAGAAGACAGAAATATGACACTGGATTCAAAGCCTACTTACTAGCTCTGTGCTGTTGAACAAATTGCTGAATCTCCCTGAACCTCAGTTTTCTCCCCTGTGAAGTGGAACTACCATTTATTGAACATTTATATGCCAGCACGGTGCCAAGCTGCTTTTTTTTTGTTTTTTTTTTTTTGAGATGGAACTTCACTCTTGTTGCCCAGGCTGGAGTTCAGTGGTACCATCTCAGCTCACTGCAACCTCTGCCTCCCGGGTTTAAGTGATTCTCTTACCTCAGCCTTCTGAGTAGCTGGGTTACAGGCATGCATCATCATGCCCACCTAATTTTTGTATTTTTAGTAGAGATGGGGGTTTCACCATGTTGGCCAGGCTGATCTCGAACTCCTGACCTCAGGTGATCCACCCACCTCGGCCTCCCAATGTGCTGGGATTACAGGCGTGAGCCACCACGCCTGGCTGCCAAGCATTTTAAATAGAGCTATGTATTTGGTTCACATTTTAAAATCATGTACACAAAGGATCTGATTTAATAACTGAGACATGATGGCTCCTCAGTGACAGCTGCCATTATTATTGTTGTTATAAATTTCCAAGTTAAACTTTCTATAGTTTATAGGAGAGAGCCCTCCACCCTCATGCTGTTGTCTACTTATCTGTCATCCCTCTGGGACCAGATAGGGACAGGACCCAGAGTCCTGCCATTCCCAGGATATAAGGTAGCAAGTTAAAACTTGCCAGGAAGATCAAATATGTGGGATCTTTCTTTTTTTGTTGTTTTTTTGTTTTTTGTTTTTTGTTTTTGTGTCACCCAGGCTGGCGTGCAGTGGCGTGAACATGGCTCACTGCATTTTTTTACTTCCTGGGCTCAAGTGATCCTCCCACTTTAGCTCCCCCCAAGCAGCTGGGACCACAGGCACACACTAATACGCCCGATTAATTTTTGTGTTTTGGGTAGAGACAGGGTTTCACCATGTTTCCTAGGCTGCTCTTGAATTCCTAGGCTCAAGCAATCCACCGGCCTCAGCCTCCCAAAGTGCTGGGATTGCAGGCACGAGCCACTGTGCCCAGCAACATCTGGAATCTTTCCAGCACCAAAGGGAGTCAAGCGTGAGAAATAAGAATATTCACCTGTTAGAGAGCTTGTGTGCAAGACGGCTGGGTGGAAACAAAGATGATGGGAACCAGTGATAAAGGGCTACTTGCCTGGCCTAAACTCAGATATTGGCCCCTCTCTAGCCTCCTGCCTCCAAAGTTGCCCTTTGCATCCATTCACGCAGCCACAGGAGCACCCTAGCTAAAGCAGATTTAACCATTGGGCCTCAGGCTTAAAAGTCTTGATTGGCGGCCGTGCGCGGTGGCTCACACCTGTAATTCCAGCACTTTGGGAGGCCAAGATGGGTGGATCACAAGGTCAGGAATTCGAGACCAGCCTGGCCAACATGGTGAAACCCCATCTCTACTAAAAATACAAAAATTAGCTGGGCACAGTGGTGGGTGCCTGTAATCCCAGCTACTCGGGAGGCTGAGGCAGGAGAATCGCTTAAACCTGGGAGGCGGAGGTTGCAGTGAGCTGATATCGCACCATTGCACTCCAGCCTGGGTGACAGAGCAAGACTCCATGTGGGGGGGTGGGGGAAGCCTTGATTGGCTACCCTTTGTCTTCTAAACGAACACTGTGCAGACAAAGCCCTACCTTCCTCTCCGCTCTGCTATTTCCATTTGTGATCCTACAAACACACCAGTGATTTCTCGCCTTCGCTCCTTGGTCCTGTTCTTCCCCCTCCCTAAAAAAGAGCCCTGCTCTTCCTCTCTGTCCAACTCCTACTTGTCCTGCAGATTTCAACTTAGATGTCACTTTCTCCAAGAAGCCTTCCTGGGTTCCCCCAGACCCATTTAGGTTCCTCAGGGCCCTGTCCTTACCCCTATCACTGGACTGTAAGCTCACATGGACAAGTTTCATAGCTGCCCATAACAGTGTCTGGGTCACCACTGGTACTCAGGAAGTGTGTGTTGAATGGAGAAATTAACATATAAGTAACTCCTACAACACGGTGGTGCCCTTTTTCATTGACCTGTATGTCTCCTCAACTAGACCACAGGCTTCTTGAAGGCAGGAAGGTCTCAGCCAGCGTTATAGGCCTGGTGCCCAGTGCTGTGTGGACACATAGGAAGTATCCAACAAATGTTTATTGAATGTTTGCATTAACACATGAGTAGTTGATGAATGAACATTCGGATAAATGGATGGACGGACAGATTGGTAACTAAACTGGTATTTGCTTCAGTCTATGTCTTTTGGGATTATCATTTTCTGAAGAAATTGAAGAACCCAAGGCAGTTCTGCAGTGAACATAAATCCCGTCGATCAGTCCTCAAGCCCCCAGACGAAGCCACCACCACCCCTACTGGTGGCCCTAAAGAACCCTACTCCCCTCAACATCCCGTATACACACCTGGTCCTTGGGTTCTTGGCTAACCAACCAGAAGAGGAGGAGGTTGTTACAGCTGATGTTCACTTCAGGGAGGGTGTCTAGGTAAGTCTTCAGGGTGGTGGTCCCCTTGGTCTGGGGTGGGGGCTGCCTCATGGATGATGGAGCATTGGGCATCCAGGCCCCAAAGTCATGCTGTGGAGACCCCCATCCCAGTTGGGTCAGTTGGCCAGAAGGGGAGTATCACCTCCCTCTTCACCATCCCTGATTCCACCTCTGCCGTCCTAGAGGTGATAGTTGGGAAATGAGGGGATCACGGAAAGGCAAGAGAGCTGGGAAATGAGGGGATCATGGAAAGGCAAGAGAGGAAAGGGTAGGGAGTGGAAAGTCCCAGAAGTGGGGCAGGAAGCCAGCTTACTCCTTGTCACTCCCCGCCCAGTGTTCCAGGACTCGGTGGGGTGAGTCACTAGGGAAGGAGGTGGCCCCAGAGTGGAGGTAATCCTAGAAAAGGGCCTTGGGTTGCCATGCCACACAGAGCAAGCTGCTACTCCACCTGGCTGGGTTCTAACCATGAGAGGAGCCCCTAAGTTCTTCTCCCAAATTAACATCAACTTGAATCACCATTACAACCTTGGACCCAGCTCCACCCAGTCATCACCCAATGCCAACCCTTCACCCCACTCAGCTGCCACTCCAACCCCAAGTCTAATCATAAACCCACCCCAACGCTGACCCACCCAAGCTCTCAACCCAAATTCAGGCCTCAAGTCCATTGCTGAGACCTGATGTCCCCAGGCCTGCCCTTTGTAGCCTCACCTGCCCACTGTTGACAGCAGCGTGCTGGGCAGAGCAATTGAAGATGATTGCAGTGAGGAACTTCACCATCTCTCCTGGGGTGCACAGCCGGCTTGGGAAACCTGGGTGTGGGGAGGAAGGGTAGAGGGTGTGGATGGAAGGTACTGGATTCCTAGGGCCAGCTCAGGACTGGGGCTCACCACAGGGGGAAAGTGAGGAAGTAGGGAACACCGAGCCATGACTGTCTTGTCGGGCTGGTTAGGGATGGCCACCACCAAGATTTGTGGTCTCTGAAGTGGGTCAGGATAGGAGATGGGGGCTGGGATCTGGCCAGAAAATCCCCGGCAGGCAGGGCCAATGACAGAGGCAGCTTCAAGCCCAAGTGCCCAGCTGCCTCTCCCTGACTTCCAAGGCACTTCAATCTGCAGCCCCTATTAGGATGTAATGATTTAATCCTACCCGGTTCACCAAGATTTGTTCAAGCACCCAGTATCCAACCATCCTCTGCTGGGCTTAGCAGCAGAGACCCACGCAGAGGGCGTGTTACTGAAAAGCTCACAGTAACAGAAGCAGAAGGAAGCTTCTAAGACCAGAGCTTGGCTCTTTGAGGAGAGGGCAAGCAGGGCAGAAAGGGGCACCAGGAGCAGAGTGGTTAGTGGAGGCCTCCTGGAGGACAAGAGGGGCCTTGTGAGTTGAAAGATGGATGAGCCTCCAATGGAAAAAAGACAACAGAGAAAAGCATTTCAGGATTGGAGAGGGGAGAGCTCCAAGGCTCAGCCCTTGGTCCATTCATGCTGTGCCTCACTCATCTCATCCAAGTCCATGGCTCTAACCACCTCCCACTTGCCAACAACTCCCAAATTCCCTTCTCTGGCTGTGCCTGGCGTCTGAGCTCCAGACTCAGCCGTGGGCATTACCCTGGAGGCAGCTTACCTGACGTCCCCACCTAAGCATCTACACCACCTCACACTGCACACTGGCAAGGACAAATGCCCGTCAGATTACGTCACCCCTCGCTAAAACCCTCGGAGGGCTTCCCATCTCACTCACCTTGTCATGGCCCTACTTGATTGGGCCCCAGCCCCTTCTCCCACTTCATTTCCTTCCTGGCTGTTCACTTATTCGACTCCAGCTGTGCAGGCCTTCCTGATAGTTCTCAAATGCACCAGCACATTCAGAATTCAGGGCCTGCACACTTACTATACCTCTGCCTGCTACTCTTGCCCCAATTATCTTCAGAACTAGCACCTCTCCTTCCTTCAGCTACTAATGCATCAGCTCCTGAGAGGCCTGCCCTGGCCACCTCCCTGAAATGATCTCTTTACCTTGACACACTGTATCCCCTGATGCTGTTTCAGTTTTCCTCTTAGCATTCATAACCACCTGACATGTGTTTGTTGATTCTCTCTTTCTCTCTCCAAAAGAATGTTAAGCTCAACTAAGGCCAGAATTTTTGTCTTTTTCACTACTAAACCTCAGCACCTAGAACAATACTTAATAAATACCAAGAGCCCGGTAATTATTGGTTGAATGAAGGAATGCATGAGAGGGTAAGAAGCCAGAGCATGGGAGGCAGAGGTGGGAGGATTGCTCAAGCCCAGGAGTTTGAGACCAGCCTGGGCAACATAGCAAGACCTTGTCTCTAAAAAACATTTTTTAAAAAGGTAACTGGATGCAGTGATGTGGTGGTGCATGCCTGTAGTCCCAGCTACCAGGGAGGCTGAGGCATGAGGATCACTTGAGCCTGGGAGGTCAAGGCTGCAGTGAGCTGTGATCACACCACTGCACTCCAGTCTGAGCATCAAAGTGAGACCCCGCCTCAAAAAAAAAAAAAAAAAAAAAAAGCCAGAGTAGGAAGGCACGGGGTATTAACAGGGTGAGGGAACAGGGAGGGGACCTAATTGGAGGTGAGGCTGCAGAGGCATGCAGGGCCATGTGGTTTCTGGGCAGTATTTCAGAGGATTAGCAGGGTGGTGGCCCTGCAGGCTTGGCGGGCAAGCAGCGAGAGGCTGGGAGAGGTGGGACTGGTTGAGAAGCAGCTGCCACAATTCCAGAGCACTATGAGGAAGACTACAACTAGGGTGGTGACAGTAGGGATCAGCCACCTAACTGGATTTAGGAAGACAGAGAGGGAAACATGAGTCAAAGAGAACTAAGGTTTGGAGTCAGGCTGACTGGACGGAGGCTGATGCAACAGAACAGAGAGGTTGGGAGGCAAGACCAGACATCCGCCTGGGAGTGTGTGGGAGTTTTCTGAAGGTTCTGTTCCTGGTTGAGTCTCTAAACTCGGAGGCTGAGAACAAAAAAGTAAAGCAGGCAGACACACCTGTAGTGTCAGCTACTTGGAAGGCTGAGACAGGAGAATCAATAGAGCCCAGGAGTTTGAGACCAGCCTAAGCAACAGAGCAAGACCCTGTCTCAAAAAAACAAAACATGAGCAAAAACAAAAAATAAAAACAAAGAAGTGGACAGACCATCTATAGGAACTTTTCCGTAGTTCATATTGCCTATTTTTCCCCCATTGGAATATGGAACCTGACCGAAATGGTGAAAGAAACCCCATCTCTACTAAAAATACAAAAATTATCCGGGCGTGGTAGTGTGCGACTGTAGTCCCAGCTACTCGGGAGGCTGAGACAGGAGAATCGCTTGAACCGGGAGGTGGAGGTTAACTTGTGTGTTTTCCCTTTTTAAATACTGTATGTGACTCTATAATAGGTTTGTACTCATTGAAAGAGCTGTTGTCAATCTGCAGAATGTTCTGATGCACTAACTCAGAGAAAAAAATGTAATAAAGTAAGATAGGAGAGTTGAATTAACCTCAGACTGACTGAGGTTAATAAGTGTGTTTTCCCTTTTTAAATGCTGTATATGAATCTACAATAGGTTTATACTTGTTGGAAGAGCTGTTGTCAATCTGAAGAGTGTTCTGATGCATTAAATCAGAGAAAAATGAAATAAAGTAAGATAGGAGAGTTGAATTAACAGTAATTAGATCCCCCTTTGGGTCTTAAGTAGGAAACAGACACCCCAAATATGAAACAACTGCCCAAGGAGGGAGGAGCTGTCAGGATCAGCACTGATCATGATTAATAGCAGGTTTGCAAAACACAGGGAAGGGTCACCCTTTAAAAACTCCAAGGCCGGGTGCGGTGGCTCACACCTGTAATCCCAGTACTTCGGGAGGCCGAGGTGGGCAGATCACCTGAGGTCAGGAGTTCAAGACCAGCCTGTCCAACATGGCAAAACTGCATCTCTACTAAAAATACAAAAATTAGCCAGATGTGGTGGCAGACGCCTGTAATCCCAGCTACTCGGGAGACTGAGGCAGCAGAATCTCTTGAACCCAGGAGGTGGAGGTTGCAGTAAGCCGAGATTGTGCCTCCACACTCCAGCCTGGGCAACAAAGTAAGACTCTGTCTCGCACCAGGCGAGGTGGCTCACGTCTGTAATCCCAGCACTTTGGGAGGCTGAGGCGGGCGGATCATGAGGTCAGGAGATCGAGACCATCCTGGCTAACATGGTGAAATCCTGTCTCTACTAAAAACACAAAAAATTAGCTGGGCGTGGTGGCGGGTGCCTGTAGTCCCAGCTACTCCGGAGGTTGAGGCAGGAGAATGGCGTGAACCCGGGAGGCGGAGCTTGCAGTGAGCAGAGATCGCGCCACTGCACTCCAGCCTGGGCGACAGAGGGAGACTCCGTCTCAAAAAAAAAAACAAGAAAGAAAGAAAGAAAGAAAGAAAGAAAGAAAGAAAGAAAGAAAGAAAGAAAGAAAGAAAGAAAGAAAGAAAGAAAGAAAGAAAGAAAGAAAGAAAGAAAGAAAGAAAGAAAGAAAGAAAGAAAGAAAGAAAGAAAGAAAGAAAGAAAGGAAGGAGAGAGAGAGAGAGAGAAAGAAAGAAAGGAAGGAAAGAAAGAAAGAAAGAAAGAAAGAAAGAAAGAAAGAAAGAAAGAAAGAAAGAAAGAAAGAAAGAAAGGAAGAGAGGTTGGTGGCTGGAGGGGCCACGTGGCAGGACAGGAAGGAGGGTTTGAGAGAAAGTTCCCAGAATCCTCTGAAGTCAGAGATGGCTCCCACTGCACGTTGCAGAATATTGACAGAGCTCAGGAAGCTGAAATGAATGGGTGGGCTTGTGGAAAGGTCAAGGGACCAGAGGGGCACAGAGCAGTGGATGCAGCAATGGCTTTGGAGACAGTCGGAGCTGGCTCGGAACCCGCCTTGCACAGCCTTCTTTGTGCCTCTTTCCATATCTGCTAGTTGGGGATATTAATAGTATCTACTTCAAAGGCTGGTCAATAAATAACTGATGGGAGTAGGGTGTGGCCAAGCAAGTGCTAGCTCATCAGAGCTACACGGAAAGTGGGATAGAGAGGGGATACCTGAGCTTTCCCGGCCCAGGAACGCCTGAGCAAAAATCTCGCCAGTCCAGGCCTGCAGCTCCGAATCCTGCTGCACAGATGCGTCACTGGGATAATAGTAGCCCACGATTTCTGAGACAAAGCTGCAGGAAAGAGATGCTGGTACCACTGGAGTAACCACGGGCTCAGTCCTGGCCAGGAAACCGAGGCCCACTGCTGCTCAGGCGGCAGAGAGACAGATAGCCATGGGGGTTCAGCAGGGACCCCCAGGTGCAGCTGGAATCTGAGTGGCCGGGCTTCCCTTAAGTCCCACTCACTCCTGAGCCATGGGTGCTCCACACTTCCTTCCTGCACAGGGGCCTGGGGGGTGGGCAGGGGAGTGCACGAAGAGTCTGATTCATGCTGCCACCCCCCTCCCCACCCAGGAGGAAGGAAGACCTGCCTGCCACAGGCCCCAGCCCATGCTTAAATGATGCACCAGCCCTGATACTCTGACTCCACTGGACACCCCCTCCTTCCCCTGCATCCACACACCCCCAAGCCCCTCTCTGGACGGCAGCTACCTGCCATTTCAGAAGGGACCCCAAACTCAATTCATACCCTCAAGAATTCCCTATGCTAGGGTGTGAAAACACCTGAAATCCCCAGGCGCCATGAGCGCAGGGACCACAATGTCCCAGGCCAGGAGACCCTGGTGGGACTGCTGGTCCCGCCCCGCACCTCGCACCTCTCAATGGCCGCCCAGATCTTCAGGCCGTCGTCTCGGTAGTGGTAGTTGGGGATAGCCAGGACGCCGCGGGCCCGCAGGCTGTCCGGAAGGCAGAAATTGGTGTAGGTGAAGTGGGCCAGGCCCGTGCTCATGAGGTAGATGAGGCCTTGCCTCCCGATGGACGTGACCTGAGGACACAGCACAGCTCGGCTCCCGGGCCGGCCCAATCCCCACCCTAGTGTCTGGGCACGAGATGGGGCTGGGGACTCGGCCCAAGGAGGGCCTTCTTCGGTTCACCAAGCAATCCACGGATCAAATACCCACGAGGGCCTGCCTGACGCAGGCTGCGCAGCTTGACGCCCCATTACGTGCGTGGGAGGAGATCCTTAGGTATTTGGTAACTAAAAGAATGAACTGAAAGCCGGGGAGCCTGGCTGGGCTCAGGGTCAGCTGAGGGTAGTGCTGGGGCTCAGGATGAGGCTGCCCTGCCTGTGGACCCGTGGCCCGGCGGGGCTGGGGGCGGTGGGCGGGGGCGGTGAGGCTGCGGGGGCGGGGGAGACAGGGTCTGTGAAGGGGGCCGGTAGGAGACCGGAGACCGGCGGAGTGGGCGGGGCTGGTGGAAGAGGCAGTGATTGTACAGGTGTTCTCACACCCCAGGTGTCCTCACAAGGGGCTTGGGCGCAGAACAGGGCTTGGGGGCGGGTAGCGGGGCAAAGCGTCTTCGGGGGCGGAGATCAGTGACCCGGCAGGGAGGCCGCACCTGGTCCACGAGGCCCTCGGGGTTGAGCAGCGTGGCCCTCGCGATGGTGTTCACCTGCAGCGTGTATCGAGTGTGGGGGAGTAGGAGCTGCGAGCGGAGCGGATCACGTGAGCTGAAGGCCGGGGACAAGGCCGCCCGGCCCCTGCCCCGCTGGGCCCCCACCCGGGGTCGCGGACCTTGTAGATGGGGTGGCAGAGCGGCAGCTGGCGCAGCGTGGCCATGGCGAAGGCCTCGCACAGCAAATGCGTGCACAGAAAGTGCGTGTTGTTTTCGTGCACCAGGAACTCAGAGTTGCGCACCCACGTCTTGGCCAGCAGCCAGTCCCATTCGGAGTCAGTGGGCAGGAAGATGGGGCTGTCAGGCCCGGGGGTCTGGCTGAGCTGCGTCCGAAAGGAACGAGGGATGATGGGGCTCCGGGCTGGCGGTTAGCACCTGAGCCCCCATCCCGGGGCGGCGGCGCCGGGCTCACCTGGATGGCCAAGGGCACCAGCGCCCCCTGGGGGCTGAGCCACAGCAGGCACAGTGGGGCGGCCACGTACTGCTGGCGGCCGTTTAGGCAGTGGGTGGGGGCCTCCGCCAGGATCCAGTAGTCCGCTAGGAAGATGTTCCCCCTCTGCAGAAGGCACACAGAGGCTGAGTGTCCCTCCCTACTCGCGCTCCACTTCCCTCCCATTTCCCTGCCCACTTCCACCCCAGAGAGGAGCTGAGGCCCCCAGCTGAGGTCTCAGAAATTCTTGGTGCCTGAATTAATGGCCAAAGTGGGGTACCCCGCCCTTCCCAAAATGTCCGGAATGAGGTCCAGCTGAGTCCCTCCTTGTGCAACAGCTCGCCTGCTGAGACAAGCCAGCGTCCTCTCCTCCTCACCTCATACCTAGTCCTTCCCACTCTCAACTCAGATGGAATCCCCTTCTGACATCTGAGCACTATGTATCCAGCAACAGCTAAATGAACACATGAGAACTGACCAACCATGTCTCTAGCTTTCTGGAGGAGAATGCCTGAGGGCTTGACTGCCCCAAAAAGACTGGGTTAGCCTCGTCTCCGACAACCTCAGAGCTCCTAGTTCTCCGTGATCTTCCCTGATGCATCTGGTGGCCCTACCATTGGCCTGTCCTAAAACAGCTTTCCTCTAGGCCTCAGCACCTCTTCAGGAGGCCTCAAAACAAGGGCAAGCCTTCCTCAAAGATGTCCCTGCAGCCACCCTGCGCGTTCACACCATTTCACCAGGCCCCATCTCAGGCCTCAAAGCCTCCCAACCCCAGTCTGACCCTCATCCGTATCTGCTCTACTTAAAGTGTGCAGGACCATGGCTGCCCAGAGGATGAGGCCCACAGGTGAAATGCAGCCCAGGCCATTTCCATACCCTCCACACACATCCCTTGTCCATAATGGTGACACACCCACCTCCCACCTATCAGGCCCACTGCCCAGATCCTTACCCACCTCTAGCTCTGTCTGCAGGCATGTGTCCTGTCCCAGCAAGGGGGCCACCATGTCATTGGTGACAGGCAGCTTGCTGGGCAAGCTAGAGATGCAGTGGAGCATGACGGGATTGACACCATTCAGGTACTGGTACCCAAAGAAGTGATCTTCACACCAGTGCTCTGTGACATACTCTGGGATACAAGAGAGGGGACCAGTTGGTCTAGAAACTACTTCCCTAGATCCTAGTCCTGCCAAGTCCTTTGCTTATCATTGTGGTTTAGGTTTTCTTCCCAAAAACTCTATGAGGTAGGAATCATTATATCTTCAATTTAATACTAGACACTAAGGGTCAGAGAGATGGAGTGACTTGCACAGCTGAGTGGCAGAGCAGGGATTTGAGAACCTAAGCCTTTCTGGACCCAAAGCCCGGAGCACTTGGTGGTTGGAGTAGGGGAAGAGAGTCGTGTGTCCCTGATGAGGATCAAGATTCCCTAAATGACTGTGACCCTCTCCCAGGCAAGCAGAGTGTCTCTCTCTCCTGAATCCCCTGTTTTTGTCCCCTCCTCAGAGAAGGTGCTTTGTTCTCCAGAGGAATCTGGGAGATGCCACCAGTGAAGCCAGGAGCCCCTCCCACTCAAATCCAGCAGTCTCCCTGGGAGGGCTGGGAGAGGGCCCTTTCCCAGGAAGGAGAGGAAGGGGTCTGAGCATGAGATAAGGTGAGGGGTAGACATCTCCTGCCTGGCTCTGCTCACTTGTCGTGAAGGTCTTATGGCACCAGAAGATGTTCTGCATGTCATCCAGCTTCTTCCAGGAGCCCTTGCGATCCAACAGCCCTCGAAGCTTCATTCCCAAGGACCTGATGGGAGAGGAAAAGATGAGGGTGAGGTCTGGGGGCTAGAGTCTGCTGGGAATCACTGTGTGCCCCTCTGCCTGGAGGAACTGACGGGGTCCATCCCCAGAGTAGAGATGCCTAACAATCCACATGGGAGAAAAAGTCTAGTACCCGGTGGAGGCTCTGTGGCCTCGGAAGACCCTGGTTCATATGCAGCCATCCCTAAGACAGGTCATTGCACTTGCACATAAAGTTGGCACACACGGCCCTATGGTGCAGACAAGCCACCCTCACTGGTGTTTTGGCCTGTATTCTCCAAGCTGCCCTCTTGTCACAGACCTCCACTGGCTCCCCTCTGCCTACAGGACAGAGCCCCAGCTGCCAAGCCTGACTAGCCCATGGAGATCCCCACCAGCCAGCTTCTACCAACCTTTCCAGTATTTTCTCCCACCCTAGGCATTAGACAGGGCCAACCAAGACCCGCTCTCCAAACATGATCAGAGACATGCTTTGTACACTGGAAGGTAGAAGAGGGGCTGGCACGTGGAGAGATGCATACTCTTCACTTTGTGGATGTCTGTGCTGTTTGAATTTTTACAGTGAGCACTATTTTTTTTTTCCTTCTTTTTAAGATGGGATCTCCCTGTGTTACCGAGGCTGGAGTGCAGTGGCTGTTTAGAGACACAATCATAGCTCACTGCAGCTTCAAACTCCTGGGCTCAAGCAATCCTCCTGCCTCAACCTCCCAAGTAGCAGGCACTACCATGTAGTACCTCCCAAGTAGCAGATGTGCCCCACCATGCCCTGCAACATTATTTTATAATATGGAGAAGCATGCTTGAAATTAAAATGGCTTTCCCCCACTTCCAGGTCTTCATTTAATCTTCACCTCTGGTAGAAAGCCATCTACTCCATCTCTATGATAAAAATCTATCTCTTCTAGGCACAGCTCAGAAGCAAAGTCCTTTATGGAGCATTGCCTGAACTCCTCCTTGCACACATGAACTCCTCCATGAACACATGCCTTGGATCTTTCACACTCATCATTTCCCACATTGTATTGTAAGCCCAGTGGACATATATTATCCCCATTATACTATGAGCTCCTCAGGGCAAGGACTTGGCTATGTCTGCCCCACCATATCCAGTTCATAATATGCACTCACTAAATAAGCTGAATCAAAGGAAAGGGAATGGAGGCCAGATGCGGTGGCTCACGCCTATAATCCCAGCACTTTGGGAGGCCAAGATGGGCCGATCACCTGAGGTCAGGAGTTCGAGACCAGCCTGGCCAACATGGTGAAACCCCGTCTCTACTAAAAATGCAAAAATTAGCCAGGCGTGGTGGTGCATCTCTGTAATCCCAGCTACTCGGGAGGCTGAGGTGGGAGAATTGCTTGAACCCAGGAAGTGGAGACTGCAGTGAGCCAAGATCGAGCCACTGCACTCCAGCCTGAGCAACAGAGTGAGACTCCGTCTCAAAACAACAACAACAACAACAAAAGGAATGGAACATGGAACAAGTAGGCGTGTGGCAATAGGTCAATAACATAGGATGTATAAAGATGTGTGGGCTGGGCGTGGTGGCTCATGCCTGTAATCCCAGCACTTTGGGAGGCAAAGGCAGATGGATCACCTGAGGTCGGGAGTTTGAGACCAGCCTAACCAACATGAAGAAACCCCATCTCTACTAAAAATACAAAATTAGCCGGCATGGTGGCACCTGCCTGTAGTCCCAGCTACTCAGGAGGCTGAGGCAGGAGAATCGCTTGAACCCAGGAGGCAGAGGTTGCGGTGAGCCGAGATCGCGGCACTGCACTCCAGCCTGGGCGACAGGAGTGAAACTCCGTCTCAAAAAAAAAAAAAAAAAGTGATGTGCCCTGAAAAGTGTGGGCACCTGGGGAAGGGAGGGTGGCAAGGGGGGATGAATGATCGGACAGGCCCAGGAACGATGTCACCTGGGCTCCTAAGCACTCACTCACTCACTGCACACACACTCGCTGGGGGCCCAATTAACACCCAGTGGGTGGGAAAACCACGAGGAGTTCAATCATGAAAGCAGAGGCTGAGGAGTCTGGGGGCAGGGAGAGGGGAACTGGGGAGCACAAGGGGGAGACAAGGGCAGGAAGGGGGCAGGGGGCATGTAGAGAGGGAAGACTGTGGGGCAGGGAGAGGGAATGAGTCCAGAGAGGAGGGACTGGGGCAGGGAGAGGGGATACTGGGAATAGGGAGAAGGGGCAGTCTGGGAGCACGGGGAGGGGGATGGATGGGCAGAGATGTAAGATGTTCATTAGAGGGACAATGGCCTTACGCAGGGATGGCATTGAAGAGCAGCGAGATCGTCTTGGTGGCTGAGTATCGAACATTGGGCTCCATGTACATCAGGGATGGGATGTCAATTTTCATGGGGAAGCCGGGCAGGTACCGATTCCCACTGCTGGGGGTCGGGGGAGTAGAAAGACAGAAACCAGTCAGTGGGCCCTGAAGCCCAGCTGCTCAACTCCTTCCCTCTTTCCTGCCTTCCAAGTCCCTGGGTCTCTCTTACTCCCGGCTCCTCCCCTGCCCTCTCTGCTCCTGAGCTAAAATAACCTCCTCACTCTTGTCCCCTGTGCCAGACCCTTTGGGGCCATCTCCCATCCTGATGCTTGAATGAAACTGCATTGTCATAGACCCCTACCCCTCCTTCCTGGCTATCAGGACCCCATCCTCCCGACAGACCTTCCACTTGACTTCCTTTCCCCTCCTTCCCAAGCTTTAATCTTCACCTGTCACCCTGGTCTACACAAGTTGTCGTCTTTGTCAAGGCAAATTTCTTGTCTGACTCCATCTCCTGAAAGCTGTTGACGTCTACCATGCAGGGGAAGCCAGGGGCATAGATCTTCCAGCTTCCGAGGGAAAGAGGTCAGAGGTGGCAGGTCATGCTCGGGATAAACACAAGTCTTAGCTTTAAAGACACGGCTTCAGATTAAAACTTCAAAAACCACCTACTTTCTGGATGAGTGACAAGGAATTGGACATTTCTCCATGAAAGCACTGGCTTCACATAGGGTAGCATTTAAGGATGGCATTAATGCCCACACTGGGTTAGAGATGGGTTTGTGTTGAGATTAAAATCATGGCCGGTTTAGTGGGGGAGGCTGAGAAAGGACTGAGATTGGTGGATACTTCAGGTCACTTCTGATATTGGGATCTGGGTTACATCAGGGACAGTTGAGGGCTGAGTATGGATTCATTGGTGGTGTTGGGACAACTGTTACTATTGGTGTTCTCAGTTCAGATTCAGGGTCACTATTAAAGTGGGGTTAGGTCCAAATAAGAGTCCTGATCCAAGCTAGGCACCCAAGGTTGAGAATGAGGTTAGAGTTAGGAACAATCTGATTAAGACTGAGGTCAGGATAAAGATGGGGAAAGAAGTCAAATTAGGCCACCCTCACCGGTAGCATTCTTGTCGGGCCCGGAGCTCCCGTGTCCTGTGATCCAGGAGGAGGGGAAGAGAGTCCTGACAAATAGTTCTTGCTGTGGGGAATGAAAATTACTCTTGGTATAAGTCTCTTTTCCAACAACATCTTCTGCAAACCTTGCCTGAACCCCCTGACCCTTGAACCCAATCCGACAGCCACATCCCTGTGAAACACGTGGCGGTGCCCCCACGTTCTTTGTGTATTCATCAGTAGAAGGGATTCAAGACAGCTTCACCCCCAAATTATAGCAATCTTCCCAATTGTTGGCATGTTTATCTCCCCTCCAGACTATAAACTCCCTGAGGGCAGAAGTCGTCTTGTATTCCTTTTTCTTCTTTTTCTTCTTCTGTATTCCCGGCTTCTAGCATGGTGCCTGGCACCATGTGTATAAGATGCACTTTAAATGACTGATGAACAAATATATTTTGTGAAGCTATGGATGGATGTGCTGTGGAGATGGATGAGAGTTTATAGTGAGGTCTATGGAAAACTTATTACGGACCATGGGGTAATATTCATTTGCCTCACTTTGACCTAGAATATCCCTCCTTCATCCTGAGCCTCCTCCCAACACCCAGAGCAGCCCTACTGTTGCCTCTCCAGATCAGATAGCTCTGGAAACTGAAGATGCTCAAGCCCAGCATCTGCAGAAGGCCCCAGAAATTCAACAAGGAATCCTAGCAGCACCTCTCAGGGACCTCATCCACACTAGAAAAGCTAGTAGTAGGGGAGGGAATGGGGCCTCTCCAGCTAAAATCTCTGAGCAGCCAGGGCTTCTCTACCTGTTAAAATCTAATGACTCAGGGTGCAGGTTAGTTCCTCTCTGGGGTCTGGAGGAACTCACTCTGGAGAAGTGCAGAGGGAGGCTGTGGAAAGCAAAGTGCTTCCTATGTGTATGAGAGAAGGGTGCCTGCCTATATGAGTGTATGTGTCTATGTGAGTCTCCAGAAGAGTCAATACCGTCTGCAAAACCCTCGCATTTCAGGGCTTGAGAGGCTCCCTTTTTTCAGAAAACATCTACTTGGGAGCCCAGAGTTTCTGACCTCAATCTTATTCCCTATACTCTGGGGCTCTGTGAGACCCCACTCCTAATCCCAAAGGACACCTTCTGCAGTACAGTGTAGTCCTCGTCTCTGGCCCACCTGTTCCTGGCCTCAGCTCCACGGTGCAGTAGCCTTCAATCCACTGATAGCAGGGGAAGTGGGATACACTACCATCCGGTTCGGTGACACAGATGCGGCTACAGTACCAAGAGTCCTTGCGGAAGAAAGCGTAGCGCTCCTTGTGTACACGCAGCAGCAAGAGCTCACCCAGCTCCGCTGTGCAACGCACCTTGTACTTCTGTACCTGAGGGGACCAAGACAGCAAGCAGGTGAGAGGCGGGGAACTGCCAAGGCGGTCCTTGCGCCTTGCAAGATGCATCTACACCTAAGCCTATTCGGGCATACAAACCTGAGCTGCTCCCAGCCCATACCGGGCTTTTGTATGAATTAGAAAAAGCTTCCCCGGGCCGGGAGAGGTGGCTCACGCCTGTAATCCTAACACTTTGGGAGGCCGAGGCGGGTGGATCACCTGAGGTCAGGAGTTTGAGACCAGCCTGCCCGATGAAACCGCTTCTCTACTAAAAATACAAAAAATTAGTCGGGCGTCGTGGCAGGCGCCTGTAATCCCAGCTACTTGGGAGGCTGAGGCAGGAGAATCGCTTAAACCCGGGAGGTGGAGGTTGCAGTGACCTGAGATCACACCACTGCCCTCCAGCCTGGGCAACAAGAGCAAAACTCCATCTCAAAAAGAAAAGAAAAAGGTGCCCGAGCACAGTGGGCACTGCATTTCACTAGCTTCCTAGGCCGGCTGGGAACTCTTGTGGAGGCCACCTGGGGCTGGCAGAGGCAGGCAGATCCCCTCGATAAGAGGAAACCCAGGCTCAGAGAGGGGAAGCGACTTGCCCAAAGCCCACGGTCAATTATGGGAGGAGTTTAGGAGCCAGGGGAAGTCCCTCTACTCCCTGTCCAACGCTCCTTCCTCTCCACAGTCCTGCCTGGATGGAGTTCATCATCTCCAGGAAAGACAGGGACCTCAATAGGGAAGGTGAGGAGGTCAGGGCCGGTATCCTGAGTTCAGCAGGATCTCAAGAGTCCAGGAGGAATACTCCTCCCGCCTGCGGCCCCTGCCCCTCTGAGGTCGCGCTTCCCTGTCTCCTTTGTACTCACCGATCCAGGGGCGAAGTCCCTGCCCATTCGATCTAGCCGCTGCTTGGGGCTTTCACCACACGTGCCCACCAGTGTGACAGAGATGTTGTCCAGTGTGCCGGCCCTCAGGTAGGGACCAGTGGTCACACACAGGCGGTACACTGCCATGATGGGAAGGAGGAAGGGATGCCCCGGCAACGCTGGCCGCAGCAGCAGCCGGCCTGGAGGAGAAGAGCGGCACGCCGGACAGGGCTGGGTTTCTGGGCGGAGGGCTAGGGGCTGCGGGGCTGGGTAGGGCTGAGGATGGGCCCAGCTCTCTCTGGGATGTTCCTGGGCTTTCTCTCTCCGAAGCTCCCTGCTGGCGGCTCGGGCTTCCTCTCTCCGCCCACAGTCTTGCACTCTAATACTTGTTTGCTTGCCTCTGACACAGCCGGTCCCTCTGGCTGGCTCACCCAGATGGATATCAGGAGCCTGGGTTCCACTGCGGAGGGAGGGATCAGATGCTGAGATGGAGAAAAGGAGGTAACGCCTGTATAATTGGGACACTGCCCTCCGCCTGGTCAGCGGCCCGGACTGATGCCCTGGAGTGCTTGTCCGCCCACTCCCCAATGTCCCCCAAGATCTGTTCCTCCCCATTCCCAGGCAGAGATGAGCACAGGGCACCTGCATTCCTACGTGTGAATCATCCGTGTGAATCACTAAACAGTGGAGAGTTGCACTTGGTCATAAATCACACGTGACTGCAGCCACACGCAGGTGAGTCGCACACGCATTCCAGCACATGTCAAATGGTCAGGAACAGCTCCCTGTCACCCCATACACCGATCCCCCCACGCATGGCCCTCTTTGTCCCCAGCCTTTGGCACGCCCGACCTCATTCTCTGCTCTGGAGTAGGGCAGGTCAGGAAAGCGAAATACAGCGCCGGCAAACAGGGTCTGAATGCCCCGCGTGGCATTCTTTCCGCTCCAGGACCGCCCTGGGCCTGCAGGATCCTGGGCGGGAGCCCAGGTGTCCGGGATCTGGGCCACTAGGGACTGGGGAGGAACCTCTCAGAGAAGCCCATAGCCCGCAGCGGCCCCGCGCGGCCGGTTCCGGCGCCGCACTGTTCCAGCCTCTACTATGGTACAGTCCCTGCGTCGCAGCCTCGGCGGGGGCTCTAAGAACGGGAGGCAGAAAAAGCTCAATCAGCAGCAGGCGAGCTTCACCCGCTGCTTCCAAATCTGTGCCAAAATATTCTATGCTGCACAGATAAAATCCTCTGTCGGTTCTACAAGCCTGGCTTTTCCTATAGAGAACCCTCTTATAAGCAAAAAGTAAAGCTCTCGTGAAGAGCCCGGATAGCTCAGTCGGTAGAGCATCAGACTTTTAATCTGAGGGTCCAGGGTTCAAGTCCCTGTTCGGGCGGCATGTCTTTGCTTTTGGGTACCGCACTTCGCATAAAATGGTAACAAAAATAGTTACTAGTTTTTAAAGCTAGGTGATACAGAAACTTGATTTCCACAAAATACAGCAAACGACGGTGGAGGGTAATAAACATACTTTAAAACAGTACAAACGCGAGCCGTATTATCGAATTTACATTTTCTGGTAGCCACATTACAAAGAATAAAAAGCAAGCGAAATTAATTTCACGGATCTATTTTACTTACCCTAATATACCAAAATCTTATTTTAACATATAATCAACATTCTAAAAATATTAATGAAATTTTAAGTCTTTTTGTTTGTACAAAGCCTTCCTTCAAAAGAAGATGTGTATTTAGAAGCTGGCAATACATCTGAATTCATATATTTCAAGTGCTCGATAACGGTGTCTACCATATCCAACAGCAGACTTTGTTTTGTTTTCGTTTTAAGTGACGGGTGTGGAAGACACGCAAAATAGAATGTCCAGTAATGTACACAATCTTGAAAGACACCACGAGGGAGGTTCCATGGTGTAATGGTTAGCACTCTGGACTCTGAATCCAGCGATCCGAGTTCAAATCTCGGTGGAACCTTGAAGCTTTTCTTTTAATATCAGCATGTTGAATATTGTTAATTGATTTTCACAGAGGGGATACTCCTATGACCCAAGATAATACGACAAAAAAAAAAAGTAAACTAGGACACTACCAATTATTTGTGCTTTTCCTACCGGATAATTGAGTCCTATAACACAGTGTTAAGAGAACGTACAATAAATTATTTAAATATGTTGGAAGTTGAGCTAACATTTGAAAACATGTTAAAATAGAGATGTTATGAAGAAACGAAATAATAGAGATGTTATGAAGAAACGAAATATTGCTTCAGCAGTTACCATCAGGTCTTAGCTTCTGGGATGGATGCAGGCCTATGATCTCTCTGGAAGACCAAACACGGAAGATGATGGTGAAACCATTACCAGGGGAATTCGTAAAATTACTTTCTGCATGTAAATAGGTGTAACCTCACAGAACTGTTAACAGAACTGTAGCAGGTGCGTAATCCACCAGAAAAACTCCAGCCTGGCAGCGGTGGGATTCGAACCCACGCCTCCGAAGAGACTGGAGCCTAAATCCAGCGCCTTAGACCGCTCGGCCACGCTACCTGCACGAAAACTTACTGTCCCCGTTGTCCTCCTAAGAGACTAGAAGTAAGGAATGGGGCAAATCTTAAGAGTGCCAAATTGATTCGTCTCCTTTTCCACATCTTTTAGACTGGAAATGAAGAACCATCGAGACTGTGGACCGCATAGCAGCAGATGGCAGAACAGATAAACGAGAAGAGACAAAAACACACAGAAATTTACAACAAAACTAGTTTATTTGGGTGGGACTATATCTGGGAGTGGGGAGCGCCTGAGCCGGAAACACCCCCCAAGCGGGCAGCCGGAGCTCTGCACTCGCTCGCTCAGCCATTTTCGGTTGCTCTCCCTCCCTGTTTTTTCGACCCATGTGCGCCCTCTCTCTCACCTGGCTAACATGCTTTGCGCCCGCTACCTCTACCTGGCTTGGCCTCTGAGATCCAAACCGCGCCCTCCTGGCATGTCCCGCCCAAGTCCCTTAGCCCCGCTCCCCAACCCTGCCCCATTCCCACTCTAGTACCCGTAAGCTACAAGACGCCGCCGTTCGTCGGGTGGCTCTGTGGCGCAATGGATAGCGCATTGGACTTCTAGTGACGAATAGAGCAATTCAAAGGTTGTGGGTTCGAATCCCACCAGAGTCGATTTTATTTCAATTTTTCCTTTTTATCCGTTTTTTTCTTAAAGGCCCCCATCCCTTCTCCCCCTACCCTATCTCTCTCTTTCCACCTGGTTTCAATTTCGATCTCAGTTCCCGCTCTGCTCTCTTCTTTACTTACCTGTCTGCCCCGGGGCTTGGGCCATGGAGAGCAGGACTGAGGGTGGGAGACAGAAGGGAAGGGAAAGTGGGCGTGGACGTCGAGATAAAGGCAGGCCCCTGGCTCGGGGACACACGGGGATTTAATAACCACTTTATTCCATGCACTAGGGACTCGGGAAGGGACTGGGACTGGGCTGAGGGGCAGAGAGAGTACAATCCTAGACGCAAGGGAGAAGTTGGGGCAGGGAAAAGGGACAGGAACCAGGGAAATATATATTTATATAGATACTCTAATATAGACCACATCTCACCCGCGCGCTGAGCCCGCGCGCCCCACTGCCCTCCCCAACACCTGCTCGCCCGGACGCCCGGGTCCCTCTGCTGCCCTCGGGCTGGAGTCTCTACCCCACCCCTAGACCCCGCCCCCACCACCCCCCAAGGCTCAGGGCCAAGGTCTCCAGAAAGCGGGCGGCGGGGGCAGCGGGGCCTTGGGCGCCCCGTCTTGTCTGTGAGGCGGCGGTGGCGGCGGCAGCAGTCCGGTGAGGGGCGCCGGCGCGCCAGAATCCCCGGCGCGCGGGGAGCAGAGGGATGGGGACCATGCGCAGCGCGGGCTAGGGTGGCCCTGGTGCACTGGGGGGCGCTGGTGCAGCGCAGGGCCAAGGGCCGGTGCGGCGGGGTCCAGGGATGGGCGCGGCGCTGGAGGCCTCGGATCTACCGGCTTGGGCCGGGGCGGTTTGGGGCGCAGATAGCCGTGCAGCGCGGAGAAGAGCTGGGCGCGGGCGGCCGGGCTGGCGTCGTGCGCGAAGGCCGCCAAGCGAAGCAGGCACTCGCGGAAACCGGACAAGTAGCAGCTGGCGAGCGCCTCGGCGTCCTGGACTGGGGACCGGGGAACCCCTGGAGCCGCGGCGGCTGGTGCGGCCGGCGGGAGCACAGGTGGGCAGGGCAGGGGCCCGGCAGGGGTGAGGGAAGGGGCGGGGCGCAGAGATACCAAGGCCGGACAGGCGCACAGAGACAGGAAGCCAGATGGACGGAAAGAGGGAGAAAATGAGGGAGACACAGAGACAGACACGCGCGGGTGTTATTAACCTCGCCTCGGAGCAGAACCGGCCACTCCCCAAGCCCACCATCCACCGCAGGGCCCGCCCACTCTGCCCCGGCCGGAGCCTCCTGGCGTCCCCCCTCCCTCCCTCCGCTGCCCCACCCCCGCGCTGTACCCGGGGGCTCCACCCGGCTTCGCTCCCTCAAGTAGCCCACGGCGAACTCCAATATCTCCGCTTTCTCCAGCTTCGGGTTCCGGAGGTTCTACAGACGGGAGGGGAGGGCGCAGAGACAGAAAGGGGTGGGGAGAAAGGGGGAAAGTGGCAGGGGGAAGAAGGGAGGGACGGATGCGGGAGCTGGTGGTGCCCCCGATCGCATTTGCGCACTGCCCACAGAACGCGCGACCAAATGCGGAGTGGAGATGACCAAGGAAAGTCCTGGCCCACCCTGAGACGAAACTGTCCAATCCTAGGGGTTGGAACCAATGCCCAACGCGTGAGGAGGAGATTTGAAACCGCAACCCAGGGAATGAAATTAACCACCCGACATAACAGAGGCTGGCTCATCAGAGGCTGGCTGTGGGGGAGGGGGAACCGGACACTTAGAGACCCAAAGGGTGAAACTGACCGACCCCGGGAGCGAAATTTACAGAACCAGGCGTGAAACTTACAGACCCGAGGGGTGGCGAAGAAGATCGCGTTCTGAGAGCGAGTGGGGGTCTGGGATGGAATTCCAAAGGCGGGACTCGGGTGAGGATGCCTTGGGGCCAGGGTTGCCAACCAAGCTTGTGTCCCCACCCCAGTGGGAAGCCCTGGGACGCGGAAACGGGAAGCTTGGGGACCTAGGGCTAGCGGAGGGACTGACCTGGTCCCGGGTCCGCTCCAGCAGCAGCAGCCTCAGCTCTTCCAGGCTGCGGTTGATGCGGTCCCGGCGCCGCTTCTCCACAAGCGGCTTGAGCATCTGCGACCAGCGAGAAAAGGAGAGCGGGCCGACCAGACCGAGACTCAGTGCGGCCGCCCCGGCGTCGGATCCCGCCGCTGGGAGAGCCCGGCTTCCACCCCGGCCACAAGACCCCAGATTGCCTAGGGCCGGCCCCATTCGATCCCTCTCCGCTCCCCCTCCCAATGCCCCTAGATCAGTTTCTGTAGCTCGCCTCCCCGGATCTTCGCATTCTCCTCTCTCAGTCTCGTCCTCCCTCCTCCCCTCTCTGTGTCTCTCCTCCTCTTTTCTCTCTACGTCTCCGTCTGGTGCAGTTTCTCTTTGTCTCAGTGGAGAACTTTGGGGACTCTCTGCGCGCACGCACGTGCGCCGCACGGTGCCGGGCTCAGACCTGGCGGCCCTGAGTATAGAAAGGGAGATACCTAGCGCGACCGCGCCGCCTCTTTTCCCTCAAAACCCTCCAGGCCTTCACCTTCTCCACGGTTCTCCTAAAATCTTCCACCAGTCTGGGGCCTCTGGAACCAACGCCCCGGGACCTTCTGTACAAGACCGCCTTGGGCCAGCCCCGCCCGGCTCACAGCCAGAGTGGAGCAAGTGCCTATCCTCTTCTCTTTTCGTTCCCACCCTCCTCCCTTGGCTCTGCCCTCTAATTGCTTATTTTACTCCAACACCGGCCCCCTCCCCAGGCCACAAGGTGCCGACACCCATTACCGAGGCCCCTAGTCCTATGTTCCCGCCGCCCACTCAGGTCTGGCTCTGACCCCTGTCCCCTTCTTCATATTTTGCAGCTTCCTCTCCAGCTTCTGGCTCCTGGAGTTCTGGAGCACCGCTCCCCTTCCACCCCTGCGTCCCCAGCCTCTCTCCAGACCGACGGCGTCAGGGGCCCAGTCCCCTAGCCAAACCAGGGACCTCTGCTCCCTCCCCTCCCGCCTCTCACCTTGGGGCCGTCCCTATTCTCAGCTCGATCCCGGGTGACCATTGCTCCTCCGGACCCTGTGTGGACCGGTTCCCTGCTCGCCTGGAGCCTTATATTCCGCGGCCCAAGGGTAGGAGGGATAGGACCCGACCCCGCCCCCTTCGACATCCAGATTCTGCCCCTCTAGGACCCGGCACGAGGCTCCCGGAAAGAGGAGGAGTGAAGGGGGGAGGGGAAGGAGAGAAACTGGCCTGGGAGTGCGGGAAGTGAGGGGTGAATGGGGGCACTGGCTGGTTTACAGACCGTAAGGCTGTATAAGGAGGCGGGACCCAGCTGAAAGGAGGAGGCTATTGGGGCAGAGCTCGCTTGGGGATGAAATTCAGAGTTCCTCCAGAATTGCAGCTTTCTGGGAGGCTTACTGTACCCTCACTAACCCTGAAATAGAAGTTAGCACCTCTCAGCCCCCAGGCTGAATTTTATACATCATCTCCGAAGTTCGCTTCCTAGTCGAGACAGGGAGCAACCCGAGTGCGCTGGGTGAATCTGTCCGACTCAACCGAAGCTCTGCCGGGAGGTTGGAGAGGCGCTCTCTTCTATCTAAGCCAGTTACATTCAAGTCCGCGAACATCTGCGCGCCCACTCTGCGGACAGGGCACTTGTCTAGGCTCGGGCGAGTCATAGTGAGATACGCAGGAGAGACCCAGCTTATCCCTGCAGGATCTAATGGAAAAGACCATGTGACACCAAGTAGCTATTACAGAAGCCCAGTGAAGTAGGTGCTCCGGGAAAAGGTCTCCTTAAGGATGGCTGGACTGAGGAGGATCTTCAAGGCAGAGGGAGCAAGTCTTTGAAACATAGGTATGAGTGGAGAGGTCTTTCCACTTACAGTACAAGTATTTGATTCAAAACTAGTCATAGGAGATTCAGGAGTGTGGCTGATAGGACACCTCACGCAAGTGTGCCCGCATTGCTTGCTTCTGGAGGCCCCTGGTGACTGTAGGGTAGCAGGGAGCAGGCAGTTTACTAAGGGGAAAGCAAGGGGTACAAAAAAGGGATCAACACCCACCTCAAACCAAGAGCATGACCCTCCGCAGAACGATGCCTGACCACTCGAGGGCTTCAGGACAAAGTGTCTGAGAAGATAAATCAGAAACTGAAGGGAACAGCCAGGTTGCCAGGGATAAAGACACGGAAAGACAGGGTTGCAGACCGAGACGGAAGACAGCTGTGAAATCAGAGACCAATGGGGTTTCCTTCAAGCCCTCCCAACGGCCCTCCGCACCTTGGTTTTGTCACGAAGCCTTTCTTGCCATCATAGCCCGAGCCGGGAGAGGCACAGACCTTGAGGAGGGGGCTCCCATTTGGGATCAGGGCCCCCAGCACATCCCACCTCTCCGTCCTTCAGCCAAATGGGAACGCAAATGTGTGTCCCCATCAGCCCCCGCCGCCCCCCTCCTTGGGAACCTGGGCTCGGGCTGAATTTTTCTCACCTGCACGCGAGGCTGGGGGCCCCCGGCTGTTCGCACCCGGGTGTGGGGCCGCCCCTGGCCATATGGGGCGGCTTTATGGCCCGGTGGCCGGATCCGGACGAGAGGAAGGATGACTTGGCGCTCCACCCACGGCAACCATTCGGGACCACTTCCCTGGCCTACACCGTTGCCTGTCCGGGTCCGCCTCAACCTCTTACAATCTCAGATAGGATCCCCGCAGAATCTTTAAGCCGCGCATTGGTGGTTCAGTGGTAGAATTCTCGCCTGCCACGCGGGAGGCCCGGGTTCGATTCCCGGCCAATGCACGAGTACAGTTTTCTTTTCTCCCCTCCAAAAAAAGGATAATATATTTGGTAGCATTTCTAAGAAACATCTTCACTTAAATATTTCTACCAAATATTAATCTTAACCTTTTGACTATAGCAGAGTTTGCAGCCCCAGGCCTAAACGATTCCGCACGCCCTCGCACTCCCCTCCTCCCAGCATGGGGGTCCTGCAGCCTCCACACCCCCCTCCCTCCGTCCCCGGCCCGCACCTCCGCAGGCGTGACCCTGAGAAAGGACACAGTGCTCGGATCTCGGCCCCCCGCGGGGGAAGGGCCAGGTCTCCCCGCCCCCCACTCTACATCCCTTGTTCTTTCCACCTCTCTTCCTCTGTTATTTTCCGTTCTCTCTGAAGCACGCTTTCTTTTCTTAAGTCTATGGGTCTATGCCTTTTTTGTCTCGCCTCCTTTCCGGGTCTCTGAGTGTCTCTTAGCTCCTCCATCTCTGTATCTCTCACGTTTTTTCCAGATCTTCAGCGACTTCTGCCCTGGGTCTCTCTGGTGTTGGTGGTCTCCTCCCTCCGCATCTCTGATTCCGCGTCTCTCCGCGTCTTGGCGTCTGCATCTCCGCCTCTGGCTCTCTCGGGTCTCTGGTATCTCGTCGTCTCTCCGAGTCTCTGTCGCCTCCCGGGACTCTGCGCTCCCACGCTCCTGCCATCCCCTGGGAAGCTCGCTGACACTTCCAGGTTCCTGCCACCTCCCCTCCCCGCCCCTTCCCGGCCGCTTTGATCCCGCACGCGTCGGCCCGAGGGCGGGCGGGTGGGCGCACAGCCACCTGCGGCGACCACTTGTGAGCGGGGCGGGGCGGGCCGGCTGGGCGGGGCGGCGGGGCTCCCCGCGGTCCGCTCCCTTCCGGCGCGCTCCGCCTCCCACCGCTCGCCTCCTCCTGGCTCTGTCCGCGGTCGCTGCCGGGGCCTGTGGGCTCGGGGCTCAGGTTCGCTGAGTGAATCTGGGTCTCGGCCTTAGTCTATCTGGGTCTCTGTCTCTGGAATTCACCCTGGAGCTGTCCCTCCCGTTTCTTTCAACCTGTTTTATTTGCGCCAGGGTCTGGGTCTCTGTCTCGTCCTCGGATTGTATCTGTGACTGCCAATGCTCTGTTCTTAGCGCTAAGTAGTAACCGTGGCCTCCAGAAGGAAACTGTTAAAAAAAAAAAGTGCATCTATCTATATGCCTGTGTGCGCAGCTGCTGGATTTATTCGGTCAGCCCATATTTATGGGGTGCCTCCTGTGTGCCGAGTACTGTAAGGAGTACATTGGGTCTGGGCTTTCCTGAAGCTTATATTACAGAGGGAAAGACAGACAATAACTACGAAAGCAAAAAATAACATAAGATAGCTTCAGATGGTTATAAGGCTGTGGGAAGAAAACAACAACAACAACAACAAAAAGGTCATGGCGATGACTTGAAAGTGAAGGGCTACTTTACTCTGGGTGGTAAGAGACAGCCTCTATGAAGAAGTGATATTTGATGCCAGCGTAGTCAGCAGCCTTGAGTCCAGGCAAAAGGATCTGCAAGTACAGGCTCTGAGGCAGGAGAGCTATTTGCTGGTGGGAGCTGGAGAAAGAGGTCCGGCGAACTCGGGATGGAGGATTTGCAGAGTGGCAGAGATCAGATTAGAGAGTCAGGCGTAGCCCATCCCACAGGATCTTGGAGAGTATTGAAGGAATTTGGATTATAACGGCAATTGGAAGCCAGTGGGGGATTTTCATCAGCAAAGTTATATTCTCTGACTGATGTTTTAAAAGATCACTTTGGGGCCAGGCGCGGTGGCTCACGCCTGTAATCCCCGCACTTTGGGAGGCCGAGGCAGGTGGATCACCTGAGGTCAGGAGTTCGAGACCAGCCTGCCAACATGGGAAACCCCGTCTGTACTAAAAATACAAAAATTAGCCGGGCGTGGTGGCACACGCCTGTAATCCCAGCTACTCTAGAGGCTGAGGCAGGAGAATCGCTTGAACCCGGGAGGCGGAGTTTGCAGTGAGCCGAGATCGCGCCACTGCACTCCAGCCTGGGTAACAGAGCGAGACTCCGTCTCAAAATAATAATAATAATTAATAAGATCACTTTGGACCGGACGCTGTGGCTCACGCCTGTAATCCCAGCACTTTGGGTGGCTGAGTCAGGCGGATCGCTTGAGCCCAGGAGTTCGAGACCAGCCTGGCCAACATGGCGAAACCCTGTCTCTATTAAAAATACAAAAATTAGCCGGGAGTGATGGCGTGGGCCTGTAATCCCAGCTACTTGGGAGGCTGAGGCAGGAGAATCGCTTGAACCCGGGAGGCGAGGTTGCAGTAAGCCGTAATCGCACCACTGCACTCTCGCCTGGCCAACAGACCCAGACTCTGTCTCAATGAAATAAAAAAGAAAAAAGAAAAAAAAATTAGCCAGGGGTGATGGTCCGCGCCTGAGAGGGGAGGCTGCAGTGAGCCAAGATCGCGCCACTGCTCTACAGCCTGGGCGACAGAGCGAGACTCTAGATAGATAGATAGATAGATAGATAGATAGATAGATAGATAGATAGATAGATAAAATTAAAAGATCGCTTTTGTTGCTATTTGGAGAATGAAGGCAGAGGGCTCATTCAGGGGGCTGAAGCAGTCTTTTAGGCAATGCCTTGAGGTGGTGGTGGGGAGAGAAAACATGAAGGGGTTACTCCTAGGTCTTTGTCTTAGGTAAGATCATGTATTTGCTTAACGTGCGGATATATTCAAAGAAATGCGTTGCTAGGCAATTTCATTATTCAGACATCACAGAGTGTAGTGATGTAAACCTAGATGGTAGAGCCTTCTACACACCTAGGCTACACTATACAGCCTATTGTGCTCCTAGGCTGCAAACCTGTACAGCTACAGCATGGTACTGTACTGAATGCTGGAGGCAATTGTACACAATTGTAAGCATTTGTGTACCTAAAAGGTAACGCATGGCACTACAATGTTATGATAGCTATGCCATCTTTGGGTGATAGGAATTTTTCGGGTTTTTTTTTCCTTTTTGTTTTGAGGCAGAGTCTCACTCAGTTGCCCAGGCTGGAGTGCAGTGGGGCGATCCCGGCTCACTGCAACCTCCGCCTGCCGGGTTCAAGCGATTCTCCTGCCTCAGGCTCCCGAGTAGCTGGGATTACAGGCCTGTGCCACCACACCCCACTAACTTTTGTATTTTTAGTAGAGACGGGGTTTCACCATGTTGCTCAGGCTGGTCTCGATCTCCTGACCTCGTTATCTGCCAGCCTCGGCCTCCCGAAGTGCTTATCACCGAGCCTGGCGATAAGGATTTTTTTTTAGCCCCATTATAATCTTGCTCTTGTTGCCCAGGACGGAGTGCAATGGTGGGATCTCGGCTCACTGCAACCTCTGCCTCCCGGGTTCAAGCGATTCTCCTGCCTCAGCCTCTCGAATAGCTGCTCGAATATCTGGGATTACAGGCATTAGCCACCACGCCCGGCTAATTTTTGTATTTTTAGTAGAAACAGGGTTTCACCATGTTGGCCAGGCTGGTATTGAACTCCTGACCTCAAGTGATCTGCCCGCCTTGGCCTCCCAAAGTGCTGGGATTACAGGCGTACGCCATTGCATCCGGCAATCCCCATTATAATCATATATATATATATGCAGTCCATCATTGACCAAAACATTGTTATGCAGCGCATGACTGTAACTGGGTAGACGGTGGTGGTGGCTTTTAACTGAGATGGGAAAACCTGTGGGGTCGGGGAGAGGTTTAGGAAGAGAAATCAAGCATTATACTTTAGCCATATTAGTTAAGACATCCTGGCCAGGCGCGGTGGCTCACTTCTGTAATCCCAGCACTTTGGGAGGCCAAGGCGGGTGGATCACGAGGTCAGGGGTTTGAGATCAACCTGGCCAACATGGTGAAACACCGTCTCTACTAAAAATACAAAAACTAGCTGGGTATGGTGGCATGCGCCTGTGGTCTCAGCTACTCCAGAGGCTGAGGCAGGAGAATCTCTTGAACCCGGGAGGCAGAGGTTGCAGTGAGCCTAGACTGCGCTATTGCACTCCAGCCTCGGCAACAGAGGAAGACTCCGCTCAAAAAAAAGATATCTAGGTGGAGGTCACACATAGGTTAGGGATATACAAGTTTGGAGATCAGAGCTGGAGGGTAAATACGCTGGAGTGATTGGGAGATAGACGTCTTTTAATGCTATAAGACTGGAGCACCTAGAGAGAAAATGTGGCGGGAAAAGACTGAACATGGGCCGGGTGTGTTGGCTCATGCCTGTAATCTTAGCACTTTGGGAGGCTGAGGCGGGTGGATCACCTAAGGTCAGGAGTTCGAGGCCAGCCTGCCCAACATGACAAAACCCCGTCTCCACAAAAAATAGAAAAATTATCTGGGCATAGTGACGCACGCCTGTAGTCCCAGCTACTCAGGAGGCTGAGGCAGGAGAATCGTTTGAGCCCGGGAGGCCAAGGTTGCAGTCAGCCGAGATTGAGCCACTGCACTCCAGCCTGGGCATGAGAATCTGTCTCAAACAAAAAAAAAAGAAAAAAGAAGAAGAAGAAAAGAAAAGGCTGAACATGGACCTCTGGGGCACCCCAACACCTAGAGATTGGTTGAGGAGGAAGAATTGGCAACGGAGACTAGAGCGGTCAGAGAGGCAACAGGAAAACCAGGGGGAGTGGGGTGTTCTGGAAATCCAGAAAAGAGGGTGTATGAAGAAGGAGATTTTGCTATCTATTCCACAGCATGGTTAGTAATAACGTATTGTATATTATGAAATTATTAAAAGTCTATTTTAAATGTTCTCACCACGAAAAAATAAATAGATGAGGTGATGGATGTGTTAATTAGCTTGATTTAATCATTCTACAATGTATCCTTATATGGAAACATCACATTTTACCCCATAAATATATATAATTATTTGTCAATTAAAAATAATAAGTGAGGCCGGGCTCAGGGGCTCACACCTGTAATCCCAGCACTTTGGGAGGGTGAGGTGGGCAGATCAGGAAGTCAGGAGATCGAGACCATCCTGGCTAACACGGTGAAACCCCGTCTCTACTAAAAATACAAAAAAGATTAGCCAGGCATGGTGGCAGGCACCTGTGATCCCAGCTACTCGGGAGGCTGAGGCAGGAGAATGGTGTGAACCCCGGATGCGGAGCTTGCAGTGAGCTGAGATAGCGCTGCTGCATGCTAGCCTGGGCAACAGAGCAAGACTCCATCTCAAAAATAATAATAATAATAAGTGAATGAACACTTTTTTCTTTTTTTAACCTGTATCCAACAAGAATAAGTAATTTTTTCCTTTTTCTTTTTTCTTTTTTTGAGACAGAGTCTCAAAAGTCTATTTTAAATGTTCTCACCACGAAAAAATAAGTAGATGAGGTGACGGATGTGTTAATTAGCTTGATTTAATCGTTCTACAATGTATCCTTATATGGAAACATCACATTTTACCCCATAAATACATATAATTATTTGTCAATTAAAAATAATAAGGGAGGCCGGGCACAGTGGCTCACACCTGTAATCCCAGCACTTTGGGAGGCTGAGGTGGGCAGATCTCAAAAAAAAAAAAAAAAAATTAGCCGAGCATGGTGGTGGTGCCTGTAATCCCAGCTTCTCGGGAGGCTGAGGCAGGAGAATTGCTTGAACCCGGGAGGTGGAGGTTGCGGTGAGCCGAGATCATGCCACTGCACTCCAGCCTGGGCAACAGCAAGACTCCGTCTCAAAAAAAACAAATTGTGCATACCTTCGGCATTTCACTGCAACTGACAAAGGCCAGTCTCTACTCTGGCTGCTCCTGCGGCCCGTCCATCACATCACCACTCATCCCCAGTGTTACAGTGGCTGGCTGTGAGCATTTTGGGGGATCTAGCTGTGGAGAAGGTGAGTTGGATTTGTGGGATACATTTAGATGATTTGTAGTCACTTCCATATATAGGTTTTTTTTGTTTTGGGGTTTTGGTGTTTTTGTTTGTTTGTTTTGCTTTGTTTTTGAGACAGGGTGTCTTGATCTGTCTGTCCCCCAGGCTGAAGTGCAGTGGTGGGACTGCAGCCTCAACCTCCAGGGCTCAAGCAATCCCCCTACATCAGCCTCTGGAGTAGCTGGAACAACAGATATGCACCACCACACCCAGGTATTTTTTTTTTTTAATTTTAATTTTTTGTGAGACTGGGGTCTCACTATGTTGCCCAGGCTTGTCTCAAGTGATCCTCCCATCTTGGCCTCCTAAAGTACTAGGATTACAGGCATGAGCCACGGTTCTCAGCCAATATTGAGTTAAGTTAGCCTCCTCATCTAGGGTAGGAATGGCTTCCAGGGATACTCCTATTTCCTTTGCCCAGTCACTAGGCTTCGTGCTGGAAGTGTGCAGGGCCAGAGACACATGTGATATGAATGTCTGATGGCTCTTGACATTATGAGTCATGGGTGGTAGAGGAGAAACAAGATTTGAAATATAGAGAGTTAGCAGCTAGTCTATGGAAAGTGCTATAGAGGTGTGTGGGCAGTAAGTACTACAAATAGCTGGCTGGGTGCAGTGGCTCACATATGAATCCCAGCACTTTGGGAGGTCAAGGCAGGTGGACTGCTTGAGTCCAGGAGTTTGAGACCAGCCTGGGCAACACGGTGAAACCTATCTCTGCTAAAAATACAAAAAAAAAAAAAAATTAGCCAGGTATGGTGGCCTGTTCCTGTTTCAGCTACTTGGAAGGCTGAGGTGAGAGAATCACCCGAGCTGGGGAAGTCGAGGCTGCAGTGAGCTGTAATTGTGCCACTGCACTCCAGCCTGGGCAACAGGAGTGAGACCTTGTCTCAAAGAAAAAAAATTAAAACTGTTAAGTTATTTTTCTGGACAGTGTGAAATTTTTGCCTTTTATTTTATTTTATTTTTACTTATTTATTTTTGAGACGGAGTCTTGCTCTGTCGCCCAGACTGGAGAGCAATGGCGCCATCTTGGCTCACTGCAACCTCCGCCTCCTGGGTTCAAGCGATTCTCCTGCCTCAGCCTCCTGAGTAGCTGGGATTATAGGCGCATGCCACCACGCCCAGCTAATTTTTGTATTTGTAGTAGAGATGGAGTTTCACCATGTTGGTCAGGCTGGTCTCGAACTCCTGACCTCATGATCCGCCCGCCTCAGCCTCCCAAAGTGCTGGGATTACAAGCATGAGCCACCGCTCCCGGCCTTTGTCACCTTTTAAAATTTGTAAGTTGTTGCCATCTCTCATTTCACTCTAAATATTACTTTTTGTACCTAATTTTGTACTTTTTCCCTTTTTTTTTTTCTTTTTCTTTTTTGAGATGAGGGTCTCAATATGTTGCCCAGGGTGGTCTCAAACTCTTGGCCTCAAGCGATCCTCTGGCCTTGGCTTCCCAAAGCGCTGGGATTCTAGGCCTGTGCCACAACACCTGGCCATATTTTTCCTTAAACACTTAAATAGTTGTTTCCCTCCACACCTCCCCCTTCTAAATCATTTAAGCTTCAGACTCCTGGACCTAGGTCTGGGTAATTTTCTGGAGCTCGTTGGTCCAGTGCAGATGTGGCCTATGAAGATGTTCTCCCACTCCTATCCCCAGCGTATCTGTGTCACAGAGTGTCAGTGGGGGTCTCCGTGTGGTTGCACGCCTCTGTGTCAGCGTGGGCCTGACACAGTTTGTGGCTGTGTCCATTTATACCGTGGCCTAATGGCGTGTGTGTGGACGTCTGAGCCTCCAGCCTCTTCCTGGCTGCCCTTTCAACAGTGGGCCACACTGGGGCTTGGGGGAGGGGAGCTCGTGTCCCACGTGCGCTGGGCTTAAGGAACGCAGGGGGTGGGGAAGGAACGGAGTAGCCGGTAGAGCATCCCAGCCTCCCCTCCCTCATTGTGAAGTCTCCCCAGTCCTGATTTCCAAGACTTAGCTCCTCCCTCTTCAGTTCTTCAAAAGGAAGGCTGGTTTCCTGGGAGCCCCTGGGCCCTGGGTAGAGGGAGTTCCTGGAGGGTTGGGTCCTGGGGGATTGGGGGTTGGGAAGTAAGAGGACCAGGACCCTGGGCCAAGGAAAGACCAGGATAGACGCTCTCCAGGCCCGCAAGGCAAACTTAAGGTCTTGCCCCGCTCAGCTTGCCTTGGGTGGCAAAATCAAAGAAAAGAGAAGGGGCAGCACAGACCCAGGCAGAGAAAACAGGGCAGTGAAACCACTTGAGGAACTTAAAGCCCCACAAACACAAAAGGTCTGGATCCCTGAACCTCCTTTATTCTTCAGCACATATTTATAGGGTGCATACTGTGGGCCTCGATCTGTCCTAGGCCCTGGGGATATAGCCCCAAAAGAAACAGACAATGATCTCTGCCCTTATGAGTCATACATTCTTTTAGGGGAAACAGTCAATGTACATTATACAAAGCAAATCATTTGTTAGATGGTGCTATAGAAATAAATTAAGCTTGGGTGGGGTGCAGTGGCTCACGCATGTAATCCCAGCACTTTGGGAGGCCGAGGCTGGCAGATCACCTGAGGGCAGGAGTTCGAGACCAGCCTGGCCAACATAGTGAATCCCCGTCTCTAGTAAAAATACAAAAAGTAGCCGGGCGTGGTGGCGCATGCCTGTAGTCCCAGCTACTCGCGAGGCTAAAGCAGGAGAATCACTGGAACCCGGGAGGCGGAGGTTGCAGTGAGCCAAGTTCTGGCCACTCCACTCTATCCTGAGAGACAGAGCTAGATTTCATCTCAAAAAAAAAAAAAGAAAGAAAAGAAAAGAAAAAAATCAATCAGAGAAGGGGAGTGGAGAGTGAGAATTGTAATTTTAGATGTCATCAGGGACGATCAGCGAAGGATTCATTGAGAAGGCGAAATCTAAGTGATGACTGGGCAGGTTATGGGATAACTGGGGAAGAACATTTCAGGCAGAGGGAACTGCTAGCACAAAAGCCCTGAGGTGGCAATATGTAAGAATATTTATTTATTTATTTATTCATTTTTTGAGACAGGGACTCGCTCTGTTGCCTAGGCTGGAGTGCAGTGGTGCCATCATAGCTCACTGCAGCCTTGAACTGTTGGGCTCAAGTGATCCTCCTCAATCTCCCAAGTAGCTAGGATTATGGGTGTACACCGAAAGGCCTGGCTAATTTTTTTATTTTTTGTAGAGATGGGGATCTCACTACGTTGCCCAGGCTAGTCTAGAACTCCTGGGCTCAATCAGTCCTCCAAAACTCCAGGATTTGCACAGGCATGAGCCACTGCACTTTATTTATTTATATCAGTATTACTTTTGGGTTTTTATTTTATTCATTTATTAGAATCCATCACAATCTTTATTTTAATGCTCAAATTGTCCCAGATTTAGCCAATGGGAGCCCCTTTGGCTGTAGACCCTAGCTGCTGTCTTTTTTGATATACATACCCAATATTCTTTGAGCATTTCTTTACATTCTGGTGCAACAAAATGTTCCAAGATCATCTTGTAATTCTTCAGCCCCAGTCCTGGAATCAGCCTCGTCTCTAAGGAGTCCTGTTTCATTTTAGCACAGAATGGCATTTAGTAACCAAGATCTGGGCATTTAGTATGGGATATCATTGTTTCTAGGCTCACTCAGTGGACAGAGCTAGGAAATATGTGTATGTGTATATGTTGTGTATGTGTATATATTTATTATATTTATTCCTGTATCTGTACACATAAAAACAATGAATTCATATTGATACCTCCATTAGAAGACTTCAAAGAGAAATGACAGAATCCGATTTATGTTTCTTTTCTTGTTTGTTTGTTTATTTCTGAGACGGAGTCTCACTCTGTCGCCCAGGCTGGAGTGCAGTGGCATGATCTCAGCTCACTGCAACCTCCGCCTCCCAGGTTCAAGCGATTCGTCTGCCTCAGCCTCCCGAGTAGCTGGGACTATAGGTGCACGCCACCATGCCCGGCTAATTTTTGTATTTTTGGTAGAGATAGGGTTTCACCATATTGACCAGGCTGGTCATCCACCCGCCTTGGCCTCCCAGGTGCTGGGATTACAGGTGTCAGCCACCGCGCCTGGTCCCTGATTTATGTTTTAAAAGGATCAATCTACCCAATATATTAAGAGTAGAGGCCAGCCAGGAGCGGTGGCTCACGCCTGTAATCCCAGCACTTTGGGGGGCCGAGGCGGGTGGATCAAGAGGTCAAGAGATCAAGACCATCCTGGCCAACATGGCGAAACCCCGTCTCTACTAAAAATACAAAAATTAGCCGGGCATGGTGGTGCGCGCCTATAGTCCCAGCTACTTAGGCAGCTGAGGCAGGAGAATCGCTTGAACCTGGGAGGCAGAGCCATGCAGTGAGCCGAGATCGTGCCACTGCACTCCAGCCTGGGTGACAGAGCCAGACTCCGTCTCAAAAAAAAAAAAAAAAAAAAAAAAAAGAGAGTAGAGGCCAGGCGTGGTGGCTCACACCTGTAATCCCAGCACTTTGGGAGGCTGGGTGGGGGGGTATGGATCACTTGAGGTCAAGAGTTCGAGACCAGCCTGGGCAACATGGTAAAACCCCATTTCTACTAAAAATACAAAATTTAGCTGGGCGTGGTGGTGCACACCTGTAGTCCCAGCTACTTGGGAGGCTGAGGTATGAGAATCACTTGAACTCAGGAGGCTGCAGTGAGCCCAGATCACGCCACTGCACTCCAGTCTTGGAGGCAGAGCAAGACCCTGTTCAAAAAAAAAAAAAAAAAAAGTAGACTCTGGAACTAGCCAGGAAATAACTTAGGGGGTATTGCAATAATCTAGGTGAGAGATGAGGGTGGCTTGGACCATGGTGTAATGGCAAATAGTCAAATGTTAGACTTTTTTCTTTTTTTGTTTGAGACAGGGTCTCATTCCATCACCCAGGCTAGAGTTCAGTGGTGTAATCACTGCTCACTGCAGCCTCAACCTCCCGGGCTCAAGTGATACTCCCTCTTCAGCCTCCCAAATAGCTGGGATAACAAGCATGCTCAGCTAATTTTTTTTTTTTTTTAATCTTCACAGAGACTGGGGTCTTGTTATGTTGCTCAGGCTGGTCCTGAACTCCTGGACGCAAGAGATCCTCCTGCCTTGGCCACCCAAAGCGCTGGGATTACACGTGTGAGCCACCACACCTGACCCTAACATATTGTAAATAGAAATGGCTCATTTGATGTAGAGTGGGAGAGAAAGAGAACAATCAAGGACGACGCTAAGGTTTTTAGTCTAAATAACTGAAGGAATGGAATTTCCATTTATTGAGATGAAAGGATCACAGGTGAAGGAGGTTTGGGGAAGAAGCCTAGGCGTTTGGTTTGCACTTTTTTTTTTTTTTTTTTGAGACGGAGTTTCACTCTTTTTCCCCAGGCTGGAGTGCAATGGCATGATCTCGGCTCACCGCAACCTCCGCCTCCCGGGTTCAAGTGATTCTCCTTCCTCAGCCTCCCGAGTAGCTGGGACTACAGGCATGTGCCACCACGCCCGGCTAAGTTTCTGTTTTTAGTAGAGACGGGGTTTCTCCATGTTGGTTGGGCTAGTCTCGAACTCCCGACCTCAGGTGAGCCGCCCGCCTCGGCCTCCCAAAGTGCTGGGATTACAGGCACGAGACACCGCGCCCGGCCTTGGTTTGCACATTTTAAGTTTGTGATCTGTATTAGCTTTTTCCAAGTGTAGATGATATGTGGGCAATAATACATAAGCATCTGTAACTCAGGGGGGAGTTCTGGAGCTGGAGATGAAAATCTGGGATGTATTAATGTATTACCTGATATTTAAAGCCATGAAACTGGAAATGACCAAGGTAGTGGGTACAGATAGAGAAGAGGTTGGAAAATTGAGCCTTGGGAACAGTCCAACATTTAGAGATCCAGAAGGTGAGGAACAGCAAAGAAGTCTGAGAATAAGCTGCTGATGAAGTAGAAGGAATATCAGAAGGACGTAGTGTCCTAGAAGGCAAGCGAAGAGTGTTTCTAATGGAAGAGTGAGCATCGGTATCAGCTTCCACGAAGTAATGGTCAATAGATTTAGCAATGTGATGATCATTCGGCAACCTTAACAAGGGCAGCTTTGATGGGGGCGGTGGACACCTGATTAGCAAGGGTCCAAAGGAGAGTGGGAAGATGGAATTGGATAACTTGCTCTGTTTGCTGTAGAAGGGAGTAGAGAAATTGAGTGGTAGCTGGACAGGCGTGTGGGGTCAAGATAGCTTTTGTTGTCTTGCTTCTAAATTGGGGGAAATTAGTGTCTGTAGGCTGAAGAGAAAAATCAAGTAGAGAGGGATTTTTTTTTTTTTGAGATGGAGTTTTGCTATTGTTGCCCAGGCTGGAGTGCAATGGCGCGACCTTCGTCTCCCGGATTCAAGAGCTTCTGCTGCCTCAGCCTCCCGAGTAGCTGGGATTACAGGCGTGCGTCAGCCACCACGCCCGGCTAATTTTGTATTTTTAGTAGAGATTGGGGTTTCACTGGTCTCGGACTCCTGACCTCAAGTGATCCACCCGTCAAGCCTCCCAAAGTGTTGAGATTACAGGCGTGAGCCACTACGCCCGGCTGAGAGGGAAATTTTGATGGTATAGGAAAAAGCAGTGTCTTTGAGATGGCCAGAGGGATGGGAAATCTAGTAAAAGTAGGGGTTGGCTTTAGGTGGAAGCATTCTTCTACAATAATGAAGGAAAAGAAGAGTACGTGGTCACCGACTCAATTAGGTAGGTAGGTAGGTAGGTGCGATGTGAATGTTGATGGGGAACTCCGGAATGGTTTATTTTCTCAGTGAATCAGGAAGTAAAAGCTGAGAAGGGATTCGTAGTTTGAGGTGAGGGTAGGAATGAAACAGTCTCATGGGGCAGTATGAGAGTGAATGAATTGGAGGAAAGTAACGATTGCTGAGTAGCACTAAGGAGCCACCCGAGTGTGGTGGCGTTAGGAATTGAAATCCGCAGTAAAAAAGTTTTTGCAGGTCGATAGGACTATGAGAATCGCAAGAGGGCGCTCGCGGGCTGGTCCCTGACGGCCGAGTCTCTGAGATTCTCAGAATAACGCGGGAGATTCTCCAAGGAAAGAACCAGAAAACAAACTGCTTTTTCCTTCTCCAGAGACCGAGATACCTAAATACCAAAACTAGTGACGCTGTGAGCAGGATTCGAACCTGCGCGGGGAGACCCCATTGGATTTCGAGTCCAACGCCTTAACCACTCGGCCATCACAGCCGCGTGCGCTGTCGGCCCTGTGCAACTATAGCTGCCTATCAACACGCCCGCCTCCAGCCGGCTCCGCCCGGCTCCGCCCGGCTCCACCCGCGCCGCCTAGAGACGTCTGCGCTCGTGCGCCTCTGCTCGGTGGCGCAGACCATGCCTTCCCTCCAGCAGACGTCAGCAGCCCCATTGGAGCGGCAGCCTTCCTATTCTCCCTCTCCTCCCTGAGCATAGGATGGAAACAAAACGGGTCCAAATCCGAGCCCTGTCTTCCATACTCTTGAGGACAGACCCTGAGATGCCTACTTCAGGCTACTTCATGAAACCGAAGTGAGAATCTGTAGTTTCCAATACACACTAAAAGTGCAGGGAAACGGAGGTCCAAAGACGGATTGGCATGTAAGAAGAATCTTAGGGAGAGTCTAGAAGAAATGTTTCTTAGAAAGGCCCTTTGAAAGTGGAGAAGTGTACTTGCAGCAATAATATATCACTCCCCGCTAACTCAGGCACCGCTGGGATTCGAACCCAGGATCTCCTGTTTACTAGACAGGCGCTTTAACCAGCTAAGCCACGGCGCCGGCGTAAAACAGGTGTTCCTCAAGATAAATCAACTCTTAGTGGGTGACAGTAAGTGAAAATCAGCAAACTGCCTGCAGTGGTTCCTCAGTGACTCATCCCTTCCTAAGGTGCCTCTTCCCTTTCAGGTTCTGAGCCAAAGGGTTAATGCTTTGCTTCTCCATTCTTCCACACCTTTGGGGCCAACTCAACCATGAGTGAGCACATGACTCCATGTGTCCCTTAGCTACCTAGACTGACCTGCTGAAGGGCCCTCTCTGTGTGGTGACCAAGAAGCCAAGGAAGGCCGGGCGCGGTGGCTCACGCCTGTAATCCCAGCACTTTGGGAGGCCAAGGCGGGCAGATCACCTAAGGTCAGGAGTCCGCGACCAGCCTGACCAAAAATGGTGAAACCCCATCGCTACTAAAAATACAAAATTAGCCGGGCGCGGTGGTGGGCACCTATAATCCCAGCTACTCGGGAGGCTGAGGCAGGAGAATCGCTTGAACCCGGGAGGCAGACGTTGCAGCGAGCCGAGATTGCACCATTGCACTCCAGCTGGGTGACAGAGCGAAATTCCGTCTCAAATAAAAAAAAGGAAGCCAAGGAAGACAAACACCCTCGAATACCTCAGGGCACCACGGAGTTAAGCAGGGTTCCTCTGCCTTGGCCACCCGTGACCCGGGCTGGAGCTTACCCAAGCCCTTGGCCACACGCACCTCTCAGCTCTCCTTCCCAGGGCAAACCCAGCTGAGGCCATGCTAGAGGGGACAGCAGAGTCTGAGCTGGACGTGGACGTAGCGGGCTCAGCAGGGCCCTCACCTGGACAGGATGGGGGAAAAGAGGAATGGGGGTCGTCAGGAGATGGCCCTGTACACCCTCACTACAACCTTCCCAAAAGCAGGGCCACATCTCCCCTTGACATGCTCCCCTCACCCCAACCCCAAACTTCATTCCACAAAGTCCTGGGCGTTTTTATCTTTTTGTATTAAAAAAGTAGTAACAGACACAAATATCAAAAACACAAATGCCATCGGCAGAGGGTACAGCTGAGAACGCCTGGGTCCCACCTGAGGGGCAGCACCAGGGACTCCATGGTCCACCAACCTCCCCCACTCCAGAGCAGCTAGGGGCTGGAACCCCCGGGTCCTGCTTGGGCCTCAGGCTCTCCTCCCATCTGGGGAGGAGGTGGGAGAGAGAGCTGTCTCCCCGCAATAAATAAGTGCAGCCCCAACCCTCAAGAGTCAGATTCAGGCTCAGCTGGAATATGGAGAGGCCACTTCAGCAGCTTGTCAGCAACTTTGTCCAGGGGAGGGAAGGATTCCTCTCCAAAGGTGGGAGGTGACACTCCTCTGGGCTGGGCTGCGGAGTTCTGCTCTCTGCTCCCTAAGAGGCCAGAGGCAGCCCCTGGATCCTAGGCTGGTGATGGGGGTCCGGCCCCCTATGGTGGGAGAAGCTGGGGCAGTTTCCCACTGGTTGGTCTAGCCACATCTGAGTTCTGAGAATTGGGACATAGGAGAAGAAAGCCTCTCATGGACTCCTGGAGATGGTCCCAGAATGGAGTCTAGCTGGTGCAGTTTCCTGCTGTAGGTAAGGCTGGACTGGATGAGCTCCTGCCTTCTTCCTCCTCCTCCATAGCCAAGTCCTGAGAGCTTGAAGCCTTGGCCCCGCCTTGGGCCTCCTCGCAGCCCTCTCCCTCACCACTGCCGCCACCGCTGCTGCCCTGCTCGCCTCCACCCTCTTCCATGGGCTCCAGCCCCAGTCCATCCAGCTCTGAGAAGAGTGGGTCATCAGGGTGACCAGGATCTTGGGTGCTGCTCCCACAGTCCACACAGGCCTTGGTGAGAGAAATGGACATGAGAGAGTCAGACAGGGTTCTCACTGCTAACCTGCCAGCGCAGCTTCCCACCCCCAGCCCACTGTGCTTCCCGAAATGTACTCCCAAGAAGCACCAGTCCACACAGATGCACCTGCGGTCCAACAAGGTTGGACAGTGCCTTGTGCCCTCTACCCAGATGCCGTTACAGGACAGTCACAATGCATATTAGCATAGGATAGGCTGTGAAAAGTTCTGCAAAGACTCACGCGGCTTAATATTCTATAATCCACAGCAAATTTAGTGGAATCAACATTCTTCAGAATTAATGATCCAAGGACATCAAGGAGATCAGCTCTTGGCCTCGATCCCTTGAACTTGAGCTCAATTCTTTTTTCTCCCCCTTGAACTTGAGCTCAATTCTTTTTTCTCCCCCTTGAACTTGAGCTCAATTCTTTTTTCTCCCCGTCCCAGGCTTCTCTCACCATCACATCAAGAGCCCGAGGCAGTTGGCCCTTCCGGACCCAGGAGTGCACAGCACCCAGTTCCCGCCGCTGGTCCTCAGAAAACCGAGGCTGCTGCTTCTGCATGGCTCGGAGCCGCTCCCGATCCTGCTTCAGCACAGAGGTCATGTCCCTGCCCAAGAAGGGGTTCAGAAGGCAGAGGCTGGGATCCAGGACCCGGACCAGGACCCATGAAGCTGGCATCCTTCCTCTACCACAGCTTCCCACCTCATGCTCCTCCCCTAAACTAGTGCTATGCGAGGTCAAGGCTTCCAAGACCAGGAAACCTGCTCTCCTCCTGGGAGGAACTAGTAACAGGGCTCCAAGGAGCAGGAAGAAAGATAGAAACGTTTATCCTATCCAGGGCAGAGCCAGCCCCAGAAAAGAAAACTGCCCCCACTACTACCTCTGAAAGGAAGGCCAAGAAGGCCTCTGAAATGCCTCACCTGGAGGGCACCTGGTAGGTCATCATGACGCGCTGGTCAGCATTGGCCATGAGCAGCCAAATGGGATCCTGGAGCACGTACTTAATCACCTGGTCCCCAGGCTCAGCCCCGCCCCGAGCAGCCCCAGCCTCAGCCTCGGAAGAGTCGATGCTGCCAAAGTATTTGCTTGTGTGGCTGCTCTGGCTGCTGCCTGTGAAGTGGGGGGCAGACCAATGGGAGTCAGGCCGGCTGCATGCCCACTCCTGGGACCTCACAAGGCCTCCCTCAAAGGCCACATGTCCATCCCAGTGGCCTTAGGAAGCTCCGCCAAGACGGGGCCTGGGCTCCCGGCTCCCCAATCACTGCCCTACCCTGGGAGATGCTGGAGGCGGGGTACTCACGAGTGATGCTGGCTGAGGTGCTGCCCCCTTCATGGGAGCCTGAACCAGACCCAGAGCCCAAGCCAGAGCCCAAGGAGCCCGAGGCTGCGGAGCCTGTGCCGGAGCGCGAGTCCTCTTGCAGCAGAAGTTCGAGCAGGTCACTGGAGCCGGAAAGTGCGTCCTGATTGGAGGACTCAGTGACCTCCGCCTGGAGGAGGGGAGGGGGGCAAGGAGGGATGGAGGGGTCAGCACCTAGGCCTCCCTTCAACTGCTCTTACTGGTTGTGGGGAGAGGCACATCCAACCCCAGTGGTCTCTGCTCCCCACTTCGTGACAGTAGGGCCAGGCTGAGAGAGAAGAAAGCTGGCGAAGAGTGGGGATGTGAGGCCAGACCCTTTCCAAGTGACAGATGCTCTCTCAGAAGTTATTGAGATGTCCTCACCACCTGTCAGACAGACAGGACTGTCCCTTCAAAGAGGAGGTAGCCAATTTCTGCCTCATTCAGAAATTCAGCTGGGGACTCCCTCCACCTCCTGGAGGCTGAGACGCCAGCCTGGCAGAGACAGCAGGCAGCACAGGGTGGCAGAGGGGCGGGGCTGGGGTGGGGGCTGGCAGGCAGACGCAGGGGTCAGTGCTCACCAGTCTGGCCTCTGGCTCAGCAGCCTCCGCACTGGGAGGTGGGGGCCCGGCACTGCTCCCAGGGCCTCCTGCAACAGCAGCCCCCTCAGCACGGGGGAGCTCCTCCAGCTGCAGCAGATTGAGCTGGAGTGGAGAGCTGCATCTCGAGTTGAACAGTGGAGAGTCCGGGCGGTGAGGAGGACTCGGGGCGAGGGCGGGCAAGGATGGAGAAGGGGAGTGCGAGGCAGGAGTGGGAGGCCCTTCAGCAGGGGTCTGGAGTGCCCCATAAGGATAGCTGGATGGGGTTGGGAACAGATAGTTAGGGAGCACCAAGGCCACCATTGGGGTCACCAAAGGGGCGGGGAAAGCAGCTGGGGGCACAGATGTGGGAGCAGGGGGAAGAGGCTGGGGGCCTCCTCGAGGAGAGAACACTGGGAGAGGGTAGGGCTGGACAACCGCTGGGAAGGGGGTAGTGGCTGGTGGGGTGGGCCAGGGGGTGGAGGGTGGCACGGGTGAGGGGTGTGAGACATAGCAGGGCGCTTCAGCCCGAGGGTTCTGGTGGTGGCGTGAGCGCTTGGCTTTGGATCGGCAGTGGTGTCGGCGGCTTGGGGGTGCGGGGCCGTGGTGGCAGCCTGTGGGGAGAGACTAGGGTTAGCAAGGACCTCAACCTGGGGTTAGTACCCCTGCTACCCACACTGCCCTGACACGCTGACCAGGGAGAGGACAGGCCAAGGTCCCAGAGAGAGCTTCTCAACCCACACAGAACGGGGGACTCAGGAGGTGGGGCACCTTCAGGGAAGAATCACAGGAGCCAGGGACAAGGGGATTTATTGAGAAAGGAACAAGGCCAGGGAGAGGTTACACGAGGGGTCGAGCTGGGGGTGTGCGGAAGATGGAGGCATGCTGGCAGATGGAGGAAGCAGGGTGAGTCCATGGACACATGGACAGATGGCTCTGGTCCGCCAAACTCCTGTGGGCACTGCCAGCCTAGGCATTCCTCCTGCCCATCGAGGCCGTATTCTGCCTAGCTTGCAATGGAGTGAAGAGTGGGGCTGGAAAGCCCAGTCCTGAGTCCTGCGTCTGCCTGCAGGGGATCTCCCTCAGGCACCTGGAGGGGCTGCCTTCCACCTGCCCTTGAAGCCCAGACCCCACCCAGAGTTGGCCCAGAATCTATGCATGTCTCTTCATCAGTGACAACTGACTCCTAAGTGGGCATACTTCCTGCCCCTGCCCCCAGGCTAGGCCTGAAGTCGCTTACCTGGAGACAGCACCTCTGCCTGCCCATCCCAGTGCCATCCCCCCAGGCTGCCCTCCTCTGGCTGCAGCCCGGAACCCCATCCTAGTGGGGAGAAGCTAGCGAGGGGCCTGTCCCTAGGCAGGGCCTAGTGGTGGAAGCAACACCAGCCTGGGTCCCTGGAGCAGAAACACCTCCCTTAAGACCCACCCCCCAACAATCCAGTCCTAGACTGGGCAGAGGGCAGGCTCCAGGAGGCCCCAGGTGGCTACCTCGCTCGCCAAGGGCTGAGGGAGCTGTGGAAGAGCTGTCGAGTCCACGCAGCCTGCCCAGGTCTCGGAAGCGGCTGAGGAAGGCTTGCTCTTCCTTCTGTGTGTGCAGGGACAGCACGGCCTTGGTCAGCCCCACTGGACGGTAGGCGTCTGGGGCTGGGTCAGGGGCTACTGTGGGGCTGGGGGCTGGGCTGGGGGCTGGGCCTGGGGCTAGGCCAGGCAGGTCCTCCATCATGATGATGTCTGAGGAGAGTGAGATAGGGAAAGGTCATCAGAACCACTTCAGGGGTCAACACATCCATACCACACCCTCCCTGTCTGATAGCCTAGCCAACCCCTGGCAGCTCTGCCCCACAGCCAAGCCTGGTCTCCATGTACGTTTCTTGGTCACCTCTCTGCCAACGGCTGGCCCTGGGTCCTCCTCTCCATGCAAAGCTGGCCCAGAAGAAGAGACGATACTCAGGCCCCTCCAGTGGCCACTCCCTGCCAGGAACTCTACTGGGATGACCCCGTCACAACTCTCATTGGAAGAGAAGCCCACCCCTTGGCCTTCCCTCACACATTTTCTTGTTTCTTTTTTTTTTTTTTTTTGACATGGAGTCTCACTCTTTCTCCCAAGCTGGAGTGCAGTGGTGCGATCTCAGCTCACTGCAACCACCACCCCCTGGGTTCAAGCGATTCTCCTGTCCCAGCCTCCCGAGTAGCTGGGACTACAGGCGCGCGCCACCACGCCCGGCTAATTTTTGCATTTTTAGTAGATACAGGGTTTCACCATGTTGCCCAGGCTGATCTCGAGCTCCTGATCTCAGGTGATCCTCCTACCTCAGCCTCCCAAAATGCTGGGATTACAGGCCTGAGCCACCATGCCCAGCCCCTCATGATTTTCAAGGTCAATATCCAAAGACCCTTCAGGGATGTTCAATTTTCCTTGCCTTCAGACCCTGTGTGGTCAGCACCTCAGGGCAAACCCTCTATCCCAGACTCTGTGTTTCAACTGACAGTAACAATACGAGAAGCAGAACAGGGGAAGGGCAAAGCCGAGAAGCCTGGCAGGGAGGGGAGAGCAAGAAGCAGTAGCCCCAAGCCCCAGGTCAAGGGAGGCCTCCTTCTCTCCATCAGGCCCTAGAGGGGAGGGGAAAGGCAGGAGGGAGCTCTAGCTGGGAGACCGGTGGAGCCCAAGCACTGCCCCCCAATTCCACACCCATACCCGACTCCGGGGGCTTCTTGTCTCCCACATGGACGATGGTGGAGCTGAAGCTACACTGACTGGTGACGGACACCACACTCTCCGCCTTATTGGCCAGGGCGAGCGGGCTCAGGGTGCCTCCCACCACTGGCTCCTTCCGTGGGGTGGCCCCCTCCCCAGACAGCGCTGCTGACGGCGGATCTGTGCAGAGAGATGGTGCCAGTTACCATCCCCACCCCCACTGGGAAGTCAGGAGAGAGGATCCCAGGGAAAAGGGGAAGGGGATGGTGGTAGGGAACAGAGGGAACAGTCTGGAGACCAGGAGGCTGGGGAGGAGAGCAGGGCAGAGCAAGAGGGCCCAGAAGCAGAAGGGAAAAGACACAGGGCCACCAGGCCAGGACGGGGCAGTGGGAGCAGGGTGCATTGGATCTTTACCTTTCTTGGTCCCCACAGAGACTGGACCTGTCCTCTGCCTGTCGTCGTCAGAGGCTGAGGAGGTGGTATAGGAGGAGGAGGAGGCACATTTACGCTTAGTGGTGCTGGGGAGGTTGCAGCTCTCCAGGTACCTGGGGATGGACACAGCACAGGGCATCAGAGCAGGGCTTGGGGTGGGCAGGGTTAGAGCCCGAGGTGGAGAAGATGCCTGGCAGGCCTTACCTGAGGATGCTGTCCAGGCAGTTGATCTGCTGGTAGGAGCAGCTGGAGGCTTCTTTCCTCTCGGCCTCCTCAGGGACCAAGGCTAGTGGGGCCTGGACGGGAGCAGAACCCGCCTCCAGCTCTGGGTCTGGGGATTGGCAGGGAAGGGCCTTGGCCTTGAACGTGCCTGTAGCTGGGGCAAAGAGAGAAAGAGGAAAATAGCCTTCTCAAGCTCACATGGAAAAAAACAGCAAATGGGTTGGGGGTGAAGGTCAGGGGACCCCCCAGGTCTGTCTCTTCACCCACACATCATCATCAACTCACCAGGGAGGCGGGGCCGGGACTGAGGCCGGGCCCGAGACTCAATAAAAAGCTGCTGGCCCTGGTGCTTCACCAGATGCACATCCTTACAGATCTGCTGGAAAGTCACCTGTGGGACACAGCACCACAGTGAGCAGAACCAGGGGGTGTCGCCAGTGTCAGGGGCCAAGGGCACAATAAAACAAGAAGGTACCAGTGGGGAGGCACAGACGCCTTGATGGGAGCAGGACAAGAAGGAAAAGGCAGGAAGGAGAGGGCAAAGGAGGATCGGGCAAGACTCTGGGACTGGCAGTGCTGGTTCCAAGAAGGAGAGGGGAAAGGGCGATTAGAGGGTGAGGTAGGAGCAGGTCACTCACTGGCGCAGGAGGCCCAGGCCCCTCTGCATCACCCCCGTTGCTATCACTGGAGGACCCAGGGCTGTGGAGAGGGCCTGGGGATGTCACGGCGCCGACTCCACAGAGTCCCGTGGGGCTGGGGCTGTGGACGGGCTGCAGCAGGGAGAGGGCAGGTTAGATGGCTTGACCCGGCTTCCCACACCTTTTCTCACCTCCCAGGCTCCCTCTCCGCTACTCTCACCTGCAGCAGCAGCCGGTGGATCTGCTCTGACAGCTCCTGGATATCAGTGTCCAGGGAGGGAGCTGGGCTGGGGGCCGGGGGAGTGAACACGTCCTCATTCAGGGGGGCCCTGTAGAGTGAAGAGTGAATCCAGCCCTGGCCCGGTCCTGTCCCCCACCGCACTGCCCTATCCCCAACGCCAGCTCGGGGGCATGGCCCACTTACGTGCGTACTTTGTGGCGGCCCAACACGAAGGCTACCTTGCGGCTCCAGGGGTGCACAAAGCCAGCCCAGCTGGTGTCCATGGTGACATACTCCCCGTTGCGGGCACAGAAGCGGATAGGGGAGTGGTCAAAGGGCTGGCCCGCCAACTGCAGAACTGATGGAAGTGGGAAAGGAGGAGCGGTCAAAGGGAGGGAGAGCTGAGTAAGAGGGAGGCCATGCCACTAGAGATCCAGGAGACCAAGGCACCAAGAGACACAACCACAAGGGCAGCCACTCAAAAGCCCAGGACAGTGGGAAGGGCGAGCAGGGCGAGAGGAACTCACTCTTCTTGTGGATAGCCAGCATGAGGGGTCGGTCCTCAGGATGCAGGAACAGGAGCACTGGGGCCCCCAGGAGGTCCTGGGGCAGGTAGCCCAGCAGGGGGGCAGCCCTGAACGGGAAGGAGGCATCAGAGTGGCCGTGGCCTCAGCCCTGGCTGCCCTCGTCTCCTCTAGGTCCTATCCTCACCTTTCATCCACATCCTGGAAGAGGCAGCTGGGTGTGTGCCGCGTAGTGAAAATCCTCTTGTCAGGGGGTATCCGGGGAGCTGAGGCACAGAGAGTGTGGTCACTGGGTTTCGTCCAGAATGCCCAACTCCTCAGCCCTCCACTCTGCCTGGGCCCAGGCTGGCTGATGATCTGCCACACAGCTCTGCCCCGGGCACTATGGGCCCAAAGATGGTCTGGGCCAATCCTATGCCCTGTATCAGTAACATGACTGAGAGCAAGCAAGGCATTCTTCTCTGCCCTCCTCTAGCTTGGGCACCTTATTCAACTCTACCTCTAAGAGGAGCTCAAATCCTCATCTTTACAATAGCTTTTCTTGTTCCAAAATTCAAAGGGTGTGGTTCATGCCTCCCAAATTCATGTCTGGCCATGAGGAAATGTCCTTCCTCCCAGCCCCCACCAGGCCAGGGCCCTGACCTGCCCACCTTCGTAACCCGAATGGATGCGCTCTGCAATCAGCAGGCAGCACGGCTGTGCAGGGGCCCCATCTGAGACCCGGATCTTGGTCACATACGGGGTTAGGCGGAATGGCTGGTACCGAGGCCCTGGATCCCGGTCAGGACCTCCTCTAGCAAAGGAGAGAGGAGCATTAGGGACTTTCAACAGAGAGCCACCCACTCCTCCAACAATAAGGTCACAGCAGACAACAGCAAAGACGCTGGGGAGGGGGCAGGAGGAGGCAGAGGTAGGCCGGGCACGGTGGCTCACGCCTTTAATCCCAGCACTTTGGGAGGCCAAGGCAGGCGGATCACCTGAGGTCAGGAGTTCGAGACCAGCCTGGCCAACATGGTGAAACCCCGTCTCTACTGAAAATACAAAAATTAGCTGGGCGTGGTGGCGCATGCCTGTAATCCCAGCTACTTGGGAGGCTGAGGCAGGAGAATCGCTTGAACCTGGGAGGCGGAGGTTGCAGTGAGCCGAGATCGTGCCACCGCAGTCCAGCCTGGGTGACAGAGTGAGACTCCCTTTCAAAAAGCAAAAACAAAAACAAAAACAAAAAAAAAAGGAGGCAGAGGTCTTCTCCAGTTCCCCTCACCTACCTGATACGGCAGAAGACGGACTTCTCCTGGGTAAAGTCCCTGAGGCCTGAACCTGGGACAGACAGGAGAGGAGTGAGCACAGCTTCCTGCCCCTTCCCTAGGCTGCGAAGAATCCACTAAGGGAAAGTCTGGGTTCCCCGGCCCCTCACAGCAGGAATTTCCTGGGACTGCTCATGCCTCCCCACAGCGCTTGGGCACCTCACCTGCTGAGGCCCCTGTGCCCCAGGTGGGCAGGCGAGATGGAGCAGTGGAACCATAGAAGACTCCCACATCCTGGGGAGCCAGGAGCTCAGAGAAGCGGGTACCCCGGAACACGTCCCGCTTGCAACGCAGCAGGACGGCTGCCTGCTCCGAAATGTAGACGATTCGGCCCGTCAGGAAGGAGACAGCCACTGAGAAGGTATCCTGGCAGGAGGGGGAGAGCAAGAGCAGATTCAAGAGCTGTGGGAGAAGGAGTAGGGGTGCGTCGGGATGCAGAGGCCAGGCCGCCGCTGACCTGGTTCTGAAGTGTGTACTCAGACGTGATGTGCTCCAGCTCCTCCAGGGTATAGGTGGACATGTCCATGGAGCAAGGCTCGCCCTCCTCCAGGCTCCACTGCTGGTAGTATTCCTGGTTGGCTGCAGAGTGGAGGCAGTGAGGCATTCAGTAAGGAGGCTGCCTCAACACGGGAGCCCAGGCCCAGGCCATTCCCTCTTGGGACACACCACTTACCCTGCACCTGCTTGACACAGGCCAGTGCGTACTGCAGCGTGGCCAGGGTCCCAGAGCGGCCCTTGCCCCGGCGCTCTGGCGGCAGTCGAAGCTTGAGCTCTCGAAGTGCTGTCATGAGTTCCTTCTGAGTCCTTGCCCGGGCTGACTGTTCACTGCTGCGGGGCCCACAGGGAAGAAAGAGATAAAGACATTAGTCCCAGAGTGTGGCCTGGGCCCCCAGACCTCTCCTCCAGCCTCACCCGACGTACCTGCAGCCACTGGTGGACGGGTTGTCCTGCTCTGAGCTGGCACTCAGGAGGCTGTAGGCAATGGAACTGCTGGGTGGGGATGGGCTCTGAGAGTTTGTGCTAGGAGACAGCAACAGGCCCAGTTACAGGTAGGGCCAGCAGTGCGAGGCCTGTCACCCAGCTCTGCCTGCTCACAAGACCATTCCTAGACCCAACATACACATCCATACACACCTCTTGCTGCTCTCAGTGGTCTCCAGCAGGGCTGAGTCCTTGCCGTTGCCTGAGGAGGAGCTGTGTGAGCTCCGCTGAGATGCGCCTCTAGACTCATGCCCGTTGGACTCATTGCCACTTGAACCATTGCTGTTGGCATCGGTGTCATCGGCCAGGCTGGGGCCTGGGCAAGGCCGGTGCTGTGGGGGCCCAGGGGATGGGACGCCCCCAGGACAAAATGATTCCCCAGGCCTGGGGTCCCCTCCCCCATCAGCCCCTTCTAGGGGGCCACTCATGTCTGGGCCATGGGGAGAACAGAACAGAGAAGGCAGAGAGGCCACCACGGATGCACGAGGGGGCCTGGAGGCTTGGCTGAGGGAGTGAGGTGGAAGATCTAAGTCTCTGAGGGTTGAGAAGTTCGATCACAGCCAGTACCTGGAGAGGGAGACCAGGAAGCAGGGCTTGCAGAAAGCTGGTTTAACTCCAGAGCACCTGCTGGCTTCACTCAGACCTTCCCCCTGCCTGGCCTCCTGCAGGACTGATGGGAGTGGAACCCAGGCCTGGGGCTTCCAATGGGGAGTCAGGATGTCTCCTGTACCCTTAGGGGGACTGCCAGCGGGAGAAGGTTCTCCGGGGCCTTCCTTCACATCCCCTGCCACCATGGCCTGAGCAGTCAATGAGAACCACGGCTGTAGACAAAAACCTGGACACTTCCCATTCCCAAGTTCCCATTAGGTGTCCACTCTGCCTGGGCCTCCAAGGCCTCGGAGCAGGAGGTGAGCTGGTCGCCTCCTATATTTAGGCCTCCAGGCTAATTTTATCCGGGGGCGGTGCCACCCCCGCTGCACATGCGCGCCGACGTGCGCGGCCCCACCACGCGCTTCCGCCGCCGCCACGGTCGCCAGGGAAACCGACGTCAGCTGCTGAGCTCAGCGGTTGCTGGAGGGACCACAGGAGGGCGGGAGGAGCGACCCCTCCCCCATTTCCCGGCGGAAGTGGGGGAACGGCCCACTCTCACACTGGTGGGCGCGGCCGGGGGGGTCACGCATCCCTTACATATCCCCAGTCCCAGGATGGCTCGGTGGCCGTAAGAAGTGGGACGGCCTATTAGGATCCCAGGGTTGGTCCTGGCTTCCCCAGGACGAAGCACAACGGCCACTGCCCTCGGCGCAAAAGCCCCTCAACCTGACTCTCGCCTGGATCCCAGTCATTCTGGTCAAGACAACACAACCTTTCCTTCTTTAGCCCCTGCGCTGCTTCCCCACCACAAGGACCGAAGCCGGCAACCTGCCATCGTCAAGGACCCGAGGATCCTCTCTCTTCAGTCCCCTACTTTTCTGGCCAGACCCCCCCACCAACCCCAAGCCTTGGGCAGAAGACACACAACAGCCAACAGATCTTTCTTCCCCTACTCCCCGTCCAACCACACCCCTACTACTGAGCATTTTCTGAGCGCCAGGGGAAAAGGGAAGGTTGTGGCCAACAGCAGGAACCAGCGCTGGGAACGGGATGTTCTAGTCCGAAGTGGGCTGACATCACAGGCGGCGCAGGGCCAGGGACTGGAGAACAGAGACACGGGGAGCGCTGAAAGCCTAATAGGGTCCTGGTACCGGGGCAAACCTGGGGCCCCTCGAGTAACGAGCAAGAAGACCGGGGCATGCCCGCTGAGAGTCGGCTGTGGGGCCGGGAAAGCTGGGACGGGGAGGTGGGGACAAGCTGGAGGTAAGATGAGTGGGTCAGGAGTGCAGACTCCCGGTGCAAGATTTCGAGGAGGACTTCGGTCCTTGGGGGCAGGGAGAGGGTGGGTAGCGGTAAGGACGACAGTGTGCCCTCTGCCTGGGCCGAAAGTAGCCCATCAGATTGGAAGTGGCAGCGGTCCGGCTCAGGGACGGAGATCGGCCCCAGGATGGCCGCAGAGATGCCTACCTGGTCGCAGGAGTGTCCTCCGCACGCCTGCCCGCCGCCGCTCCAGCCCGCAGCCGAGTGGAAGCTCCACCGGGCGGGCGGGGAGGCGGGTTGCATAATGCCGGGCACTGCCCCCTCATTGGCCTCTTGCCGACGGAGCCGCAGGCCCCGCCCCCGATTGGCTGGGGATCTCTTCCCGGCGCCTGATTGGCTAGTGGTCTCCACTAAGGTCAGGGCTGTGTCACACACACGGGCGCACGTGGACCTGGGTGCTGGTGCTGGGCTGAAGAGCCCCAGACACCGCCCAGCCAATGGGCGCAGGACGCTTGCACATTGAATAATGGAAGGGAGGAGAGAGGGAGATACGCTGCGCCTCTTTAGGGAAAAAGCCCGGCCCGGGGTAGGTGCTCAAGACTTGTCTACTTCCTGAACGCACTAGCCTTGCAGAACACAACATCTTGGCATCTTCGCCTTTCCAAGGGTGAGGAAAAGGAATGGCGCTGCAAGTTAGGCCACGCTGGATGAGATGGGTGGTCCTTGAGAGGAGGGGAGAGACAGAAACCTGCCTGGGCCTCTCCTGGGTTCCTTTCCCAACCTTGTTCCCTCCCAACCTTCGTTCTACATAATGAAGCCCTTTAACCGAAGCACTTCCTCTGACACTTCAAATCCTGGGAGAGGACAGTTAAGGGTCCACGTGTGACCGGTGGGTGAGTGGGTGGAGGAAGGATGCGGACAATGGAAGGGGCAACCAGAGCCAATAGTGGCTGTGAAGGGAAACAATGGCAGGTGCTTCTATGGCCACTCAGAGACAAGGTCTCCGGGCAGCCTACGTGGTGTCTAGTACTTTCCTCCAGAGGACGCAGCCACCCACAGTTAAAGCTGCCCCAAAAGTGGGGGCCAGGAAGCCAGGACTACAGAGGGACCAAGGGGATGGCCCAGAGAAGAGGCCAGCTGGGGCCCTAGACAGAGAAATGTGGGGTGGCAAGGGCTTCATATTTCCACTGCTTGGAAAAGAGAAAGCCAAACTCCAGGGGCCCAGACGGAACGTCATCTGTCTCATTCACTGTAGTCTCCAGAGCCCAGGACAGGACCTGACACATGGCAAGTGATCGATAAACATGATTTTTTTTTTTTTAAACAAGGATAGGTTGGGGAGGTGGGAAAAGAGTGTCAACAGGAGAAAGGGGGCTGGGAATTCTGATTCTCTAAAAGAGATGAGTAGTCCTAGAAAGAGAACAGGGGCACGATTTGCAGGCAATAAAATGTTAGTCTGGGCTCAGGAGAGCTGCAGTTACACAGCCCCCTCCATCCAGGACCGTGATGAGTAGTTCCTCGCAGGGCTCCCTGGAAACGTGGGTAGTAGATGAACAGGCCTCCAAGCAGCTGCTGACATAATCATTGTGGGGGCACTCCCCTCACTGTCACGTGGCCTAAGCTTTCCTGAACAATGAGGGAAGGGTGAAGGGGAGGGCTCTGTGGAAAAGCTGAGACAAGATCGTGTTATAAATTAACCCAGAAAAATCGAAACAGGAAAACAAAAGATTCAGGAGCCTGGAGGCCGGGCGCGGTGGCCTGTAATCCCAGCACTTTGGGAGGCCCAGGCAGGCGGATCACCTGAGGTAGCGAGTTCGAGACCAGCCTGACCAACATGGAGAAACCCCGTCTCTATTAAAAAAAAAAAAAAAGATTCAGGAGCTTGGATTCTCAGTCTCCTCTCCCTGAAAATGATCCTCTCCACCCCAACTCATACTGTGGCTTTGGCCTTATCTCGTTTGCAGATACCTCTTCCCTGGAAACATGGTTTTTCTCCCCCTTCAGGGATTTAGGTGTGATCTCCCCTAACCCAGGCAGTCCTTGATCTCCCGCCTCCATCTCCCTGTCTTTTGCATAGACAAAAGGCTCCAGCCCTCCAGCAGCCCCCGCTTGCTCCCAAGACTCTTGTTGTCCTGCTTCACCGTCCCCACAGTAACCAGGCCCTGCTGCCGTCAATGGAGGCGAGGGGGCGGGAGACAGCAGTGACGTCAAAGCGGAAGAAGGGGGCGGGGCGAAGCTGCCTCGGAATGTGGGGCAGGGAGGCTGGAGAGACTGGAGAGGCAGCGGTTTGGGAGGCGGCCAGCCCGAGAGGGCGGCGGCCAGCGCACTTGGGAACATCATGTTCTCTTGGCTGGTGGCCCAGGACATGCACCCAGCCTGGGCGCCTCCCCCAACAAAACGACAGCCGTCCTGTCCCAAAGCCAGGGATTCCTGGAGAGAGGATTAGTAGGAAGGGGGCCCCCTCCCCACACCTCCCCCCACCACGCCTGGCTCTCTTTTCAGGACTCCCATCTGCCCGCTCCTCAGCTTGTTCCTGCAGCTCTGGCTTTTCCTCTCTCCCAAACTGTACACATCTGCTGGCCTGGTACCAAAGACCCAGGGCGGAGAAGTTGGAGGTCCTGTCTCTGGGAGAGAACACGACGCACCTTTGCTACCTTCCAGAAGCCCCTTCAGAGCCTGAATCTCTTATTATGACAGCGGGCGGGGGGAAAGGGAGAGGGGCGCGGACAGGGAGGAGAAGGGGCCTAGGATGAAAAAATCAAACTGGGACAGAGCAAGTGGCCCAGTCTAGGGCCTGGATCCTGGGAGAGGGCTAGAAGGGAGGAATGAGGGAATTTGGACTGCTGCCTGAAGACCAAAAGAGCCAGGAAGAGAGAAATGGGACGCCATCAAAACTTGCAGAAAAACTTGAGAATATGAGACTAGTTCCCAGCCACAGCATTCACATAAATCTCTCACCATAACCCAGGCATTATGCTAAGCACTTTATATTATCTTATTTCATCCCCAGAACAACCCCGTGAGATAGGTATTATTATCCCCATTCCATGGGGGATAACTAAGGCACGGAAGTTACTAAACTTGTCCAGTGCCTCATAACATGGTCTCAAGCTCTTAACAAATGGAGCCCAGGATTCAAAAATCTGAACTCTAATAATGGCTTGTCATTCTGGTTTCTTACCCTTGAGGAACCTGTGAGGTGTTAACCAACCTGTAAGCTGCATTCCAGCACTGGCAAACCTGGCCTCTCAAATATCCAGCCAATTCTAAGTTTGGTGCCAGGAACACAGACTCCATCCAACCCCTTTCTCTGCCTTAGGCCTGATCCGAAGCCACTGTTTGCACTCCCCACACACTTAACATCATAGCCCGTTTTCCCAGGCTCACAAAGTGCTTGAGATCACCCAAGCAGCCACCAGCCCCAATGATTTCCTACGAAGCCCACTTCCTCACTTTTCTACTTTACCTCAGGCCAACTTTACCAGACGCCTGGCCTGGTTGTTTGTACAGACAGATACCAAAACACCCTGTTGGTGCCTCCCCACCTCTAGGGGCTCAGGAAGACGTGCACAGCCAATCTGCCCAAACCCCAACCCTATCCTCTCAGGACTCAATAGTTGCTACCCCACGTCTATTCTCAAGGACGACTCTGAGGCCTAAACCCTTCCGCTTAACATGAGAAAGACGCCCGGAGCCGTAATGTGACTAGCTCTGGGTCTCACAAATTAAAACACCATCCTTTCTCATATCAGCATGCCAACCCTTTGGTACCCTCCGACTTGCCCTACCAGGGCCTCCCTCCGGCCTCCGAACCTCTGCCTCTTTCAAGTGTTTAAGGAGACCACCCAAACACCCTGGGAGCAGGGGCTCCTTCAGTCCCGACCTGAGAGGGAGCTCCCTCAGGTCGCAGAGGGCTTCCGAGCCCTTCCCCCCGGGCAGTCAAGTGTCCAGGGACTCCACGGGGGCGAGGGATCTGATGTCACTAACTCCCACCCCGTCCCTCTAGACCTGAGTTCACGGTCCCTATTCTCCACAACCATCAGAGCTCCCACCGCAGTTATCACGTATTTGCATGATCCCACACACACACACTCTAACACCTTCCTAACCGACCACACCACCCCGGAAAAGTCCACACCGATCGCCCCGCATCTCTCCCCCATCCCCGAGCACTCACCGCTCGGCGCGCACGCACACTCCAAATTTCTTCTAGGACTTCTAGCATTACACTGGCTCCTCCAAACCCGCCCACGGGCCGGGCTGCCACGCCCCCCACGCTTATTGGCTTAGGGGCGCCGACCCATGCCCCGTGCCGCGTGCAGCCGCCGGCCCCCGCACAGCCTCCATTGGCACCTCCGGCCGCCATCGTCTTCTCATTGGTCAGCAGGCCAACGGGGGCGGGAGAGATACACGTGAGAGAGGGGCCGCCCCAACGCGGGGATTGGAAGCCTGACCGGAAGCCACGCCCTCGACACTTCTGAGGTTCTTATTGGCTGGGGAAATAACCCCCGACCTGCCAAGATTGGTGACGTAAATGCCAGTCCCGCTCTCCAAGCTTTCTCATAGGCTGAGAGGTCTTGGAGCTGTAGGGTACACGTGCCGGCGGTCTCACGCGGCAACTTGTTTACCCAGAAGCTGGGGATTTTCCTTGACGACACTCTTAACCACGGCTGCTAAATCTGCGCAGGCGCAGCCGTGAGCGGTGGCAGCGTATAAGGCGCACTTTGTACAGAGACCCGGGCGTGACTAGGGCGCCTCTGGCGCTGGGGTTCCGGCCCTGGGTCCCACCGAGGCTCCCTGAAGCTGGAAGGTGAGAGTATTAGGGTGAAGCGGTCTTCAGATCTCAGCACGGTGTCTTGGTGACGATGAAAATAAGAGAGCCTCTTCCTGATTGTTTTCTGCGGGCCAGGCCAGGCGCTTCTCACAAACTCTGAGGAGGCCAGCTCACATACTCCCCCCGCCTCACAAATGAGACCGAGATGCAGGGGGGTTACGTAATCTGTTCGCCTGTAACACGCTAGTCAGTAACAAGGCGAAAACTTGAACCCAAGTCCCCGACACCATAAAGCAGGCGGGTCCTGGGGCCCATGGGAACTCTTAAACCTGGAAGGAATTTGAGTTGGCAGTGCGAAATCCTGAGCACTGCCTGGCATATAGTAAGACTTCAATCAAGTTGGACATTCTGGTAATGATTGTGTACCTAATTATAAGAATCACGGTGGCTCACGCCTGTAACCCCAGTACTTTGGCAGGCTGAGGTGGGTGGATCACTTGAGGTCACGAGTTTGAGACCAGCCTGGCCAACATGGTAAAACCCTGTCTCTTCTAAAAAAAAAAAAAAAAAAAAAAAAAAACGACGGCCGGGCGCGGTGGCTAACGCCTGTATTCCCAGCACTTTGGGAGGCTGAGGCGGGCTGATCACGAGGTCAGGAGATCAAGACCATCCTGGCTAACACGGTGAAACCCCGTCTCTACTAAAAATACAAAAAATTAGCCGGGCGAGGTGGCGGGCGCCTGTAGTTCCAGCTACTGCAGGAGAATGGCGTGAACCCGGGAGGCGGGACTTGCAGTGAGCCGAGATCGCACCACTGCACTCCAGCCTGGGCGACAGAGCAAGACTCTGTCTCAAAAAAAAAAAAAAAAATCCCTACAAAAATTAGCCGGGCATGGTGGTGGGTACCTGTAATCCCAGCTACTCAGGAGGCTGAGGCACAAGGATTGCTTAAACCCAGGAGGCGGAGGTTGCGTGAGCCGAGATTGCACCAAGGCACTCCAGCCTGGGTGACAGAGTGAGACTGTCTCAAAGCAAAAAAAGGCCGCGCGCGGTGGCGATTCTCCTGCCTCAGCCTCCCAAGTAGCTGGGATTACAGGCGCATGCCACCACGCCTAGTTTTTTGTATTTTTAGTAGAGGTGAGGTTTCACCATGTTGGCAAGGCTGGTCTCGAACTCCTGACCTCAAATGATCTGCCTGCCTCAGCCTCCCAAAGTGATAAGATTACAGGCGTGAGCCACCACACTCTACCTAAAATATACTCTCATTTGTTCAACATCGTGTTAAGTGGATTTTTTTTTTTTGAGACAGTCTCGTTCTGTCACCCAGGCTGGAGCACAGTGGGGTGATCTGGGCTCACTGCAACCTCCACCTCCCAGGTTCAAGCAATTCTCTGCCTCAGCCTCCCGAGTAGCTGGGATTACAGGTGCCCGCCACCATCCCCGGCTAATTTTTTGTGTGTATTTTTAGTAGAGATGTGGTTTCACTGTGTTGGCCAGGCTGGTCTTGAACTCCTGACCTCGTGATCCGCCCACCTCGGCCTCCCAAAGGGCTGGGATTACTGGCGTGAGCCACCGCGGCCGGCCACTCATTGTTGAAGCACCTGGGAACAGGGATACTAAGATGCCACATCGGGGCCTCCTGGACCTACAGGCTGTGGCAGTTCAGTGTGGGGTCTAAAGTCACAAGTCATACAACAGAGTACAGGGGTAGTAGGCCATCTACAGGCAGCTCCACAACATACTCAGCTTTGTCTCTGTGAGCCTATTTAAACCACAATTTACTAACCCCATCTGGGCGCTGGCACTGGGTTAGGCACAGAGGGGAAGACATGCTTCACAGAAATGGCCAACTACTTCATCTACTGCTGCACGGGAGCCACGGCAGAGCGTCTAGAAGTTAAATCGAGGAGTAGAAAGGAGTCCAACAGCAGGAACATGCCCCAGTAAAGGGAAACGAAAGCTGGGAACCCTAGACCACAGGGCGCACCGGGCTTAGAGACACGGGCTGGCTATGACACTTCCCATTACCAACTCCTAGTGCCCCCCTGTGGCCACTTTGAGAATCACACTTTGCCCTGCCCAAGGTCAGGGCCTCTTGCAAAGTCCAGTCCATTACCAATGTATCTTCTCAACCTTCCTGGTATACCTTCCGATCCAATATTATTCCCATTGGTTAAGAAAAGATCTTATTCTCCCCCAACCAAAAAAAAAAAATAGAAAAATAAAAAAGATCTTAGACAACACCTGGTTACTCATTACACATTTATTGTACATTTTCACAATCTGGATGCGCCACAGAATTGGGGGCATGGGGTGGGGGAAGAGGGGGGCAGGGGACACTGGGATAATATGGGGGGTCTAAAACACAGCACCCCCACCTCCAGCATCTCTCCTACCCTTTCACACCACAGCTTAGATATCCCTGCTCCCCCTCCACACAGAAAACCAGAAGTGTGGGGGGAAGAAAGTTTGGGGGCCCCCTCCCGTGGCAGGTTAAGGGACTGTACCCTCAAACCCTTAAAATTGTGCCATTTAAAAAGACAATAGACCCTTCCTCAATCAGTTCACCCAATGAGAGGACAGCTCTCTCTGGGCTCAATAGTCCTGGAGAGGGGCAAGCATCCCCGTTTTCCAGCAAGTCCCATACACACATTGGCAGTGACTAGTACCCCCACCCTAAATTCAGGGGGGGCAGTCAGAGGAGCTGGGCAGTGATGGGGCAACACCCCCCAAATTGGGGAGGAGGGTTTTCAGTCCAACCCCCAGCAGGGGTGAGGCCAGAGATTTCAGGCAGGAATTGGGGGGATTCTCTGCCCTGCCCCACTCCTCCCCAAGGCAGTGATGACCCCCACACACACACTGGTAGCCACCCCTCTCACAAGAGATCAATTGTGGCCAACCCCCAACTCTCCTGGTGGGAGGAGGAGGTGGATCAGGCAGATGGGAGGGAAACCCCATGGGAATGTCAGTTGAGTACCCCACATGAAAACTGGGGAGCAGGAATGTAGGGAGAAACCCGAAGTGGCAGAATTATTGGTCCATCATAACATACTGAACTTCAAGACACTTACATACCAGCTGGGGGAGGGAGAGGAGGGTACAAGAGGTTTGGAAAATGAGGGTAAGGGAGGCAAACTGGACTAGAGGGGCTAGGAGGAGGCAATGCTGGGGACCAGAGCAGCCTGGTTCCCCAAAAGCCCAGGCTCCCCACCACCTGCGAGTAATGTCGTGCAAATGAAAATGTGATACAAGAACTAATGGGGACTAACTCCTCAGTAAAAAAAGAAACACAGGTTGAGAGAAGAGTGATGGAACAAAAAGAAATGGAAAGGGATAGCAGTATGTAATGATACGCTAATTAACATGCTGGACGCTCCCAAAGACCTTGGGATTCTTAGGACCAAGTGGGGCCAGTCTCAGAGCCTCCCAATGGATACAAAGAAGATGTACCTAAGGAAGCCTGGACAGGTGCTGTTGTTTTTTTTTTTTTTTTTTTTTTTTTGAGGGCGGGGCAGAGGGAGCATGACGGGGAGAGTGAGGAGGAAAGAGGAAAGGAAGGCCAGGGTGGGAGGAAGGATCAGCTAAATCTGAGGGAAGAAGAAGGAAAGGAGAGGGACTATTGCATAGCAGATGCAAATGAAGGGACTTGGGGCTAGTCAGGAAGAAAGGGAAAGGGAAGGAAGGCAAGAGAGAGGGGTGAAGGGAACCTCAGGAAGGGGTGTTAAGGACAACCGGAAAAATCATCTAGTAATAAAACTACAAACAGACCAAATATATATAATATTATATATGTATAAATAACAGCTGGCTATTTACAGGGGGACACACACACGGACACACACACACACGGATCCAGGGGAGTGGGGGCTGAAAGATATGGCTGAGAGGTGGAGGAACGGCTGAGGGTTGGGGGAGAGGCCCTTCTCTAGGCAGGGCAGACTCCTCGGGGATTTAAGTGCTGAAGTAAACTGTGGAGAGAGGGGAAGAAGATGAGGAAGAGGGAGAGGGGAGAGAAAGAGAGAGAACAAGAAAGCAGTGTGTCAGGCCTGGCCCTGCTCCAATCCTCCCCACTCCCCAGCTGGCTGACACCCTCTCTTGGACTCAGTTTTTCCATCTACAAAGCAAGGGGCTAGACAGGTAGGTTCTGAGGTCCCTTCCGCTCCATGGTATGGCCTTGAAGCCACAGACCCTAATCCTCTGAGCCTCTGAGACCGCAAGCTCTCAAATAATGGGGTGGTTGGCTTCCTGGTCATGTCTCAAGCCCCTGGTCCTTTCCTTTCTCCCACTCCTCAATTCCAGGGTTCTCAGACTGGGCTCTTAGGCCTAAAGGGTCCTCAATGGATACACCAGCTTTCCTATTTCCAAATGTTAACAAGACTGCCAAGAACTAGGCAAAATGCAGGCTAAATAACATCAAAGTTTTTGGCTCTAGATGAATCAGAATTGCCATTAGCAGCTATATGTGTTTTTGGCTGAAGAGTAAAAACTAGATTAATGACCTTCAAAACCTAGAATCCACTGGGGAAACCTCTCCAGGGAAAGGGCCCCGGCCATTCTCACCCTACTCACCTATGATGATGATGAGGATGATGGCGCAAATCACTCCCAAGATGATCATCATCTGGGGGTGAGAGGCGAGGATCAGTAAGACAAACTATGATACCCCATTCACCCACCTGTCCTCCTTCCTGTCCCCACCCTTACCTTGAGGTTTTTCCACCAGTATTTGCGCTTGAGCTTGGCTGCGCTTGTTTCAAACTGGGAGGCCCCCGCCTGGAGTGCATCTGCACGGTCGTCCAGCTCCGACAGCTTCTGGTCTCGCTCCAGGACCTTGTCCACGTTCACCCTCATGATGTCCACCACCTGGGAGAAGGGCCCACGAGGCAGGGGGGTGTGCCAAGGCCCACCTCAGTGAGGGCAATCCTCAAACATGTGCCCACCGTGCCACACATGGAACATGCACCCTGATACTGCCAGGTTAACATGCCAAGGACACACAGAACATGCCTAGCACACCTGGGGACATGCAAGGAGCACACATCAGGGGCATGCTGGTGACATCTCAGATGTCATAGCAACACCCTCCCTCTATGGAACCTCAGGCGCTCTGTCCATCACCAGAGCACACCTGCCCAGGCTGGCACACCCCAGGCTAGCAAAGCTGATTAACACCCCCAGCGCCCTTCCAAGTGCGTGCTGACAGGGAGACAGGGATGGGGCATGGTATCTTTGTCCGCAAACCCACAGGCGTGAACTGTCATCACTCCCAAACCAACATGGGCCCCTACACCTATACGCCAACCCCCAGGGTCCCTCCTACTGCTTTTGACTCCCCCCACACTCACCTCATCCACCTGGGCCTGGGTCTGCTGCAGTCTCCTGTTACTGGTGAGGTTTGGAGGGGGTGCAGGGGGACCACCCTCCCCAGCCGGGGCAGCAGGGGGGGCCGTGGCAGCGGTAGCAGACCTGAGGAGCAGGGACGGATTAAGACCCAGGGCCTGCAGCCTCCCGGCCCCGCAGCCAGGGCTCCGCCCATCCACCTGTCCATCCTCGTCCCTCCAGTCCTCCTTTTCGGGAGGAAGGCCACCCGATGTAAGCCCTGGTCTCGGTCCAGCCCTGCCGCCGATGAGCTGCGTGACCTTGAGCGAGGCCCCCCCGGCCTCAGTTTCCCCGCCTGTCAACTGAGGGCGACCTCACAGATGCGATCCGGGTCGACCCGAAAAGACAGGCGGCCGCGGTGACAGGGGCGGGGAGGGGCAGGAGGACACTGGGTCCGCTCCTTCCCGCGGCCATCGCCCGAGCCGGCCAGCCCGGGACGCGGGGCTCCTCGGCCGCCCGCGCGCAGTCACCGGCTTGGGCCTGGCCCCGGGGCGCGGGGAACGCAGGAGAGACCCCGGGCACTCCCGACGGCCGGTTGCCAAGGGCGGCGGCCGGCGCAGGGAAGCGCGGTGAGGGTGGCGGGCGGCCGACTCACATGGCGGGGGCAGCGGGTGGAGGACTTGGCAGCGGCAGTGATGGCGGCGGCGGCTCGCGCTGGCTCCGACTGGCGCTGGCTGCCCGGGACGGAAAGATGGCGGCCGCGCGTCACCCGCATCCGGGCACTGCGGGCGGGGGCGGGGCGCCGCGGGAGACGCGTCGCGAGCGGGGCCGCGGGGGCGGGGCGCTGCGGGGCGCTGCGGGGCGGGGGTCGTGCCGGGCAGGACCACGGGCCCCGCGCCACCATGCCCCGGCAGCTCCCTCGGCACTCGCGGGACCCCAAGGCGGGCTGCTGCGGCTTCCCCAAACCCACCGCCACCCCACCCTGTCTGACCACAGCCCCCCCAAACCGCCTGCCGCCTGCCCCTTAGAGCACAACGCAGCCTGGCCCTACACCTAACCCCCAGACCACTCCCTCAATCGTGAACCCAGTAAACCAGCCTGCACCCCACACAGCCCAAGGTCTTGCCCCGCGCCCAGGTCCCAGCACCTAGCGACCCGCCTTCAGCACTTGGAATGGGCTGGAGTTGGGAAATCAGAGAGGGCCAGTGCAGGTGCTGGGGCAGTATCGAGAGCGGGGACCTTACTGCTAGGGTGGAGAGGAGTGGGGGAGATTGGTCCCAACCCATCACCGCTGGTGGATGTCTCAGAGGAAGCCTGGGGTCCCTGGCCACTGGGTAGGAGGGTAGGAAGAAAAGATGAGGCAGGCTCTTCCCGCCCAAACAAGTCCAGGGGGCGGAGGACGGGGGAGTGTCTACAGGGTGTGGGGAGGGGGCTGCCCCGCCTCACGATTAAGGTTCAGACTAGGGGTACTTAACCGCTGGAGCAGGCCCGACTGAGGTGGGGTGAGCTGAGGACCCCGAGGAGGAGGGCACAAGGCTGCCGGGGGTGATGGGGGCAGGGGCTGCTTCACGTGGTGGCTGCTGACTGGCCAAGACCTAGCTTTGCCCCAGGCTTAGGTCAGCGACCCGACTGCAGGAAAGGGCTCAGGCTTTGGTCCCAGGCACAGGGCCTGGGCCAAAAAAAAAAAAAAAGCCTTTTTTCTTTTTCTCTCATTTTTTTTTCTTTAGTAGTAGGCACAGTGGGCACAGGTTACAAGGTGCTGCTTTACATGCGTATTCGCCTCGCAGGTGTGACCTTGGACCGTTGCCCTCCTCTCTCTGGACCCCAAATACATTGCATATGTAGGTACTAAATCCATATTTGTTAAATGGCTTGATGTGGATAACATAGGAGATTATCCCTGGCTGGTCTCCATTAGGCCCTCTAAGCACACCCAGCAGCTGTATACACTCCCACCCAGCTTGTCAGAGAAGATGGGACCAGGGGAGCTGTCGCTCTGGTGGAGTGCAGGGGGTCAAAGCAAGCCTCAAGGGTGCAGGAGGCATTTTAGGCGAGGCCCTTTGGCCCTGGGGTGGGGGTGCTTACTACATCCCTGGAAGGTGCAGGGAGGCTGATGGCCTTGATCTCTAAGACAAACAGGAACCAGCTTCCTCCCTCCCCCACCCTGGCTTCCCAGGGCCTCCGGGTGTGAGATCCTCCCCCACTGCAGTGCCCCACCCGCTCCCCACAGAAGCCCGGAGAGTGGCTCTGTCACCAGAGGTGTCATTTCCCAGCTGTCTGTGGGAGGTGAGTGAGCAGGGAATGTGTGTGCTGGGTGTGGGAACTCAGCCCAATCTAAGAGAAGATACTCTTGGCTTCCTCCCCCTCAGAGGAGCAGCCGCGTCCCTGGTCCTTGTGCACTGACAGTCCCGGGTGGCTCAGCCTATGTGATGAGAAAGAAAAGAGCAGCTTCCACGGGGGTCTCAGATCATGCTGTGAGATGCTGGCTCCTGCTTTTTGGTCTTCAAATGATTCCTCTTTCTAGTCAGAGAACAAAGATGCCAAATTCCAGCCTTTTAAGTTCAAAACCCTCAGTGTCTGTCAGGGTATAAATAAGACATGGAGGATTGGAAGAGGCAGGCACAGGAAGCCCTTCCGCCCCCAGTTGGACACCCTGCACTAACTGAGGGGAGCCTAGTGCAGAGCCAGACAAGACATTTGATGCTGGTTTGGGGGTGATGTGGAAGGGACAGAGCCCCAGATACACGGTCAAGGCCAGGGGTCGTGCTATTGCTATTGGATCGTGGGGACGGCAGCAGCAGAGTAGAAATGAGGGCATGTGTGACCCACGGAGATGAAGGGCCCAGGAGGATTCATCTCAGAAAGAGGACTCTCATCCAGCAGCCCCTTCCCACCCCACCCCACCTAGGCTGTGGCTCAGAGGAACTCCCCAAATTTAGATCAATGGTGGAGGTGGGAGAAGGAGTGGGATGACGGAGTTCACCTGGAAGTGACTGAGAGAATGTTTTCTGCAGGCAGGTAGAATGGAGACCCAAATAGAGGTAAGTTGAACAATAGAAAAATAATGTATTTGCATAACTCAGATTTGGCTTCTACATGTACTGGCTTCGGGAATTGGCCAATGATTTTCTAGGGCACACCCCCAAGACTCATTCAAAGGATGTAGGACTCAAGGTGATGGTGATGTAGGCAACAGAGACCACACTTTCTTTTTCTTTTTTTTTTCTTTTTTTTTCTTTTTTGAGACAGAGTCTCTGTCTGTCACCCAGGCTGGAGTGCAATGGCGCGATCTCTGCTCACTGCAAACTCCGCCTCCCAGGTTCACGCCATTCTCCTCCCTCAGCCTCCCGAGTAGCTGGGACTACAGGCGCCCACCACCCGGCCCGGCTAATTTTTTGTATTTTTAGTAGAGACAGGGTTTCACCGTGTTAGCCAGGGTGGTCTTGATCTCCTGACCCCGTGATCCGCCCGCCTTGGCCTTCCGAAGTGCTGAGATTACAGGCTTGAGCCACCGCGCCTGGCCGAGACCACACTTTCATAAACGCTTTCTTTTATTTTTTATTTTTATTATTATTTATTTATTTATATTTAAGATGGAGTTTCGCTCTTCTTGCCCAGGCTGGAGTGCAATGGTGCGATCTCGGCTCACTGCAACCTCCACCTCCCGGGTTCAAGTGATTCTCCTGCCTCAGACTCCCAAGTGGCTGGGATTACAGGAGTGCACCACCACGCCCGGCTAATCGTTTTGTACTTTTAGTAGAGACGGGATTTCACCATGTTGGCCAGGCTGGTCTCGAACTCCTGACCTCAGGTGACCCACCCACCGTGGCCTCCCAAAGTGCTGGGATTACAGGCGTGAGCCACCATGCCCGGCCTTATTTCGTAATTTTTTTTTCTCTTCAGACAATTACTGGTTTAGAAGTCGGCCGGGGCTGCAGTGCAGTGGCGTGATCTCGGCTCACTGCAACCTCTGCCTCCTGGGTTCAAGAGATTCTCCTGCCTCAGGCTCCCGAGTCCCTGGGATTACAGGCGTCCGCCACCATGCCTGGCTAATTTTTCTATTTTTAGTAAAGACAGGGTTGCGCCATGTTGGCCAGGCTGGTCTCAAACTCCTGACTTCAGGTGATCTGCCCACTTTGGCCTCCCGAAGTTCTGGGATTACAGGTGTGAGCCACTGTGCCCGGCCTTTTTAATTATTTTTTTTGAGGCAGTCTCCCTCTGTCACCCAAGCTGGAGTGCAGTGGCACAAGCTTGGCTCACTACAACCTCTGCTAATTTTTCTGTTTTTAGTAGAGACAGGGTTACGCCATGTTGGCCAGGCTGGTCTCAAACTCCTGACTTCAGGTGATCTGCCGACCTTGGCCTCCTGAAGTGTTGGGATTACAGGCGTGAGCCAATGCACCCGGTCAAGAAGGTGTCTCTTTTTGTATTAAAGCATAATGTAAACACATAAAGTGGTATCTTTTTAATATGTGAAGTTCTCTCTGAACAAGTACCAAGCACAGTGCCAGGAACGAGGCAGGCAAATGAATAATAAACTATGGTGAGTGCATAGCAGGCAGACAGACTGCTAACGGGAAGGATGTGTTTGGGCAGGACCTTTGTGCCCAGTATTCTGTAAGGACAGTCCTAGTTGGGCTGGCGAAGCACTGATCACTTTTTACTGGTTCGACCAGGGAACCAGCCAGCAGAGCAGGCCCAGGCCCCTGGCCACTGGGAAGCAGGGCAGTGTGGGTGGTGGGGGTGCCACATGCCAGAGCCCTGTATGGGTGGGAGAAGACATAGGCAGATCAGAATCTCCTGGGATTGGGTGCGTGAAAGGACTCCTGGTTCCGGTCCCTCACTCTCCAACCCTCCATTCATTAGAGATTCACTGGGTTTAACAAGCTCCTGTTGTTTTGAAAGGGGGAGGAATTCTCCTCTAGATAGAGAGGTTGTCAAGAACCCACATCTTCCTTTTTATTTATTTATTTAATTATTTTTGAGACGGAGTCTCACTGTCCCCCAGGCTGGAGTGCAGTGGTGCCATCTTCTGCCTCCTGGGTTCAAACAATTCTCCTGCCTCAGCCTCCTGAGTAGCTGGGATTACAGGCGCCTGCCATTAAGCCCAGCTGATTTTTGTATTTTTAGTAGAGACAGGGTTTCACCATGTTGGGCAGGCTGGTCTCGGACTCCTGACCTCAGGTGATCCACCTGCCTCGGCCTCCCAAAGTGCTGGGATTACAGGCATGAGCCACGGCACCTGGTTGACATCTTATTACCTTCCATATTACATGCCAAGCCCAGAGCCTGGCAGGTAGCAGGTGTTCAATAAACATTTGTTTAATTGAGTCAACTGATTTGGCCTAACAGCCAGGAGACTTGGGTTCTAGTCCCAGCTTTCCCACTCTGCATGGTGTCCTGGAGCAAATGCCTTTCTCCTGGGGCCTCATTTTTCTCATTTGTTAAGTGAGGGCTCTCTCATTCTACAATGCCAGGCATTGTGCTGGTATCAGAAGCTACAATAATAAACACAAAGAGAGATTATTAAAACAGCATGATCTTTGCTGTGATGGACTTAATGACCAAGACACTTGCCAACCCTCCTCAAACGGATTAAACCGAAAAAGAAGAATCTTGTAACTAGAACACAGCTAGAAACAGCAGGATCCAGGTCCTCAAAAGTTGCCATCGGGGATCTGTCTCTCTGTTCTTCAGCTATGCTTGCCTCTGGCGTAGCTTCATTTCCACACAGGCAACATAAGCAGCTGCAGGCTCACATTTGTTTAAAATGTTATAGTTTTATATATATTTATATCTAGTTTATAGAGATGGGGGGGGTCTCACCATGTTTTCCAGACTGGTCTCAAACTTTTGGCCTCAAGTGATCCTCCGGCCTTAGCCCCGCAAAGTGCTGGGATTACAGGTGTGAGCTACCATGCCCGGCCCCAAAAATGTTATAGTTTTTAAATTTTTATTTGTTTTTTCAGAGACATGGTCTCACTCTGTCACCCAGGAGGGAGTGCAGTGGCACAATCAAAGCTCACTGCAGCCTCGAACTGCTGGGCTCAAGTGATCCTCCCACCTTAGCCTCCCAAGTAGCTGGGACCACAGGCGGAGACCACCACATCCACATCCAGCTAATTTTTAAAATTTTTTGTAGAGATGGGGGTCTCATTATGTTGCCTAGGCTGGTCTCACACTCCTGGGCTCAAACAGTCCTCCTGCCTTGGCCTCCCAAAGTTCTGGGATTACAAGTGTGAGCCACTGCACTCAACCTTGTATATTAAACACACACACATGCACACACACACACACACACAATTTATCTTCAGAATTTCAAAAGTTCAAAAGAGCATATGCAGAAAGTTTCTCCCCCACCCTGTATCCCAGCCACTCAATCTGCTTTCTCACAACAGCCAATACTCCCGGTTGCCTGCACCTCCTTTCAGAGGTGGTCCATGCATATGTAAGCAATCATGTTTGTAGTTTTCCCCTTTTTTACACCAATGGAAGCAAACTACATGCACTTTTCTGCACCTTGCTTTTGTCACTTAATGTATCTTGTATATTGTACCATTATACTGCATAAAATTCCCTTTCTTCTGGTGGCATAGTATTCCACAGTATGCATGTATCAGAATGTAACCAATCCCCTACTGACAGACATTTAGGTTGTTTCTAGCCTTTTGCCAATACAAACAAAGGTGCAAAGAATATCCTACACATTCCCCTTTCAACTGTGTGCAAATATGTAGGGCTAATTCTTAGATATGAAAATACTAGTCAGGTGTGGTGGCTCACACCTGTATTCCCAGCTACTTGGGAGGCTGCAGTGGGAGGCTCACTTTAGCCTAGGATTTCCAAGGCTTCAGTGAGCCATGATCATGTCACTGCACTCCAACCTGGGCAACAGAGTGAGACCCTGTCTCAAAAACAATAAAAATAACAAAAATAAATTCTAGGTCAAAGGAATAGGTGTTTGTGATTTTGATTTTCATGGGAATTGCTAAATTGCTCTCCATAGATGTGTTACCAACTTTTACTCCTACCAACAAATAGGCAACGCCTGTTTGCCCACACCCCCTCCAACACTCTATGAAACTTTTTGGTGATTACAAATATGCTAAGTTGAAACATGATCTGCATTTCTCATTGATGAATGAGGTTAGGCATCTTTTCATATAGTTGAGAGTTTTTTGTATTTCCTTACCAGTGAAATTTCTGTAGAAATGTTTTGTACAGTTTTATTGGGTTATTGGTATTTATCTTGTAAATTTGTAGATATATATATATGTCAAAATTAGTCCTTTCTCTGCAATATGAATTTAAAATATTCCCCCTAGATTATCATCTATTCTTTAACTTTTGCTTATAATTTTTTGTACTATGCATAGTTTTAACATTCTAATATATATTTAAAGTGTGTGAGTGTTTTCATTTATGCCTTCAGTGTTTTATTACCATACTTTGAGACTTCGAGACCAGCCTGGGCAACAAAGCGAGACCCCGTCACTACAAAAAAGTTAAAAAATTAGCTGGGTGTGTTTTTACCCGCCTGTGGTCCCAGCTACTCCGGAGGCAGAGGTGGGAGGATTGTTTGAACCCAGAAGGTCAAGGCTGCAGTAAGCTGTGAAGGCAACACTGCACTCCAACCTGGGTGACAGAGTAAGACTCTGCCTCAAAACAAAACGAAAAAAGCCATCAAAATTAGCCAGTAGTGGCAGTAGGTGCTTGTAATCCCAGCTACTAGGGAGGCTGAGGTGGGAGGATCACTTGAGCCTGGGGCAGCTGAGGCTGCAGTGAGCTATGATCATGCCGCTGCACTCCTGCCTGAGCCACAGGGCAAGACCCTGTCTCAAAAATAATAATAATAGGGCTAAGCACGGTGGCTCACATCTGTAATCCCAGCACTTTGGGAGACTGAGGTGGGCAGATCACCTGAGGTCAGGAGTTCGAGACCAGCCTGGCCAACATGGTGAACCTCCCCCCCAACCCCTGTCTCTTCTACAAATACAAAAATTAGCCAGGTGTGGTGGCACGTACTTGTAATCCCAGCTACTTGGGTGGCTGAGGCAGGATAATCACTTGAACCTGGGACGCGGAGGTTGCAGTGAGCCGAGATCGCGCCATTGCACTTCAGCCAGGGCGACAGAAGGCGACTCCATCTCAAAAAAAAAAAAAAAAAAAAAAAAAAGAGGGGAGGGGAGGGGAGATCAGCCGGGCGTGGCAGCATATGTCTGTAGTCCCAGCTACTTGGGAGGCTAAGGCAGGGGAATCGCTTGAACACGGGAGGCGGAGGTTGCAGTGAGTCGAGATCGCACCACTGCGCTCCAGCCTGGCGACAGAGCGAGACTCCGTCTCAAAAAGAAAAAAAAAATTAAGTTATTCAAAATATAAGGTTAAAAGTTCCAAGATTTATTTGAATACTTTTATGCTTTTGTTTTTGTTTTTTTTTTAAGACAGAGACTCCCTCTGTCACCCAGGCTGAAGGGCAGTGGCGCGATCTCAGCTCACTGCAACCTCCGTCTCCCGGGTTCAAGCGATTCTCCTGCCTCAGCCTCTCGAGTAGCTACGATTATAGGCAGACGCCACCACGGCCGACTAATTTTTGTATTTTTAGTAGAGACGGGGTTTCACCATGCTGGCTAGGCTGTTCTTGAACTCCTGACCTCAGGTGATCTGCCCACCTCGGCCTCCCAAAGTGCTGAGATTAAAGGCGTGAGCCACCGCGCCCAGGCTAATTATTTTATTTTATAGCATGCTTTTATTTCCAGGAAGAGTCCAGGCTTCTCTTTTCCCAAAAGTTCCAGCAATAGTCCTGTTGTCAAGGTTTATGCTTGAACCAATCACCGCGCCCAGGAAAACAGAATGAGCCTAGAGAGGAATGGTAGGGAGGGAGTGGCTGTCAGCCTCTTCCTAACCACGCAGACTAAGAATAAGGGAGGGTCTCCCAAAAGAAAATGGTGGTGCTGCCGGGCGCAGTGCCTCACGCCTGTAATCCCAGCACTTTGGGAGGCCGAGGCTGGCAGATCACGAGGTCAGGAGATCGAGACCAGCCTGAACAACATGGTGAAACCTCGTCTCTACTAAAAATACAAAAATTAGCCGGGCGTGGTGGCGCGCGCCTGTGATCCCAGCTACTCAAGAGGCTGAGGCAGGAGAATCGCTTGAACCCGAGAGGCCGAGGTTGCAGTGAGCCGAGATTGCGCCATCGCACTCCAGCCTGGGCGACAGAGCGAGACTCCCTCTCAAAAAAAAAAAAAAAGAAAGAAAGAAAGAAAGAAAAAGAAGAGAAAATGGTGGTGCTATTACCAGAAAGAAAGGATGGATACTGAACTGGCAAAAACAGATGTCTACTATGATGGGAGAATCCCAAGACCCAGTCAACTCAGGGAAAAGACACTGAGCAGTTACCACAGGCCTGACACTCTGCTACCCTTCTCCCCTGACAGACAGCAGTGGCCGGCGCCTGTAATCCCAGCTACTCGGGAGGCTGAGGCAGGAGAATCGCTTGAACCAGGGAGGCGGAGGTTGCAGATCGCGCCACTGCACCCTAGCCTGGGCGACAGAGCAAGACTCCATCTCAAAAAAAAAAAAAAAAAGTGTGAGTGTGGATGAGGGAACTGAGGCAGAAAGAGGGAAAGTGACCTCCTGCCCATCACACGGCCAAAAAGAGAAAAAACCACACTGGGACCCCGGCAGGCAGTCTGGCTACAGAGCTTGTTCCTGTAGTCCTGGCCCTGGGCTAGGGCTCACATACGTGAGCTGAGATCTGGAAACCAGCAGCATCTAGTTGATGTTTGAAAACAAGAGATGGGCCGGGCGCGGTGGCTCACGCCTGTAATCCCAGCACTTTGGGAGGCCGAGGCGGGTGGATCACGAGGTCAGGAGATCGAGACCATCCTGGCTAACACGGTGAAACCCCGTCTCTACTAAAAATACAAAAAATTAGCCGGGCGTGGTAGCAGGCGCCTGTAGTCCCAGCTACTCGGGAGGCTGAGGCAGGAGAATGCCGTGAACCCGGGAGGCGGAGCTTGCAGTGAGCCGAGATCGCGCCACTGCACTCCAGCCTGGGCAACAGAGCGAGACTCCGTCTCAAAAAAAAAAAAAAAAAAGAAAAGAAAAGAAAACAAGAGATGGATGAAGTCACCCGAAGAGCAGTGATCACCAGCACTTACGGGGCAAGCAGAAGAGACAACCCAGTATTATGTCCCCAGTAACTGACACACTGCAGGTACTCAATAAGTATTTATTGAATTAATGTAAGAAGGAACAACCAGAACAGTATAATAGTAGGCAAACCAGGTGAACCACTGTTTCAAAACTAAGGGAGAAAAAAGTGCAAAAGAGGGGAGTGGGAGAAACGCGGTGGCTCATGCCTGTATCCTAGCACTTTAGGAGGCCTAGAGGCCTAGTGGGGAGGACGGCTTGAGCCCAGGAGTTTGGGACCAGCTTGGGCAACACAGTGAGACCCTGTCTCTATAGAAAAATTTTAAAACAACCAGGTGTGGTGGTGCTCACCTGTAGTCCCAGCTACTTGGGAGGCTGATGCAGGAGGATCATCTGAGCCTGGGAGTTTGAGGCTGCAGTGAGCCATGATCCCACCACTGCACACTGCACTCTAGCCTGGGCAACAGAGTGAGACTGTCTCAAAAAAAAAAAAAAAAAAAACCAAAAGAGGGGGGTGGTCAACATACCATATGCTGAAGAGAGGTCAATCTCAAGTCTGAAAAGTGACTCTGGATTTGGGAAGAAGTCATTGGTGATGATGAGTTTCTTGGGGGTGTACTGGTAGATTTTTAACAACCAACTCTCCAAAAACAAATGTATCCATGTATATACATCTGCGCCGTGCACTCCTGCCTTGGCGACAGACCAAGACCCTACCTCAAGGAAAAAGAAATACAGTTCCTATTGAATACCATCCTGAGGGCAACCACCATGTGCACAAGACTGCAGATATTTACTGATGTGCAATGTTTCCTGAGAAGTGAGGATTAAAGTTATCAAACGACAAAAAACAAAGAGCCCATTTGTATTATTTCACTGCCTAAATTCCAGAAAGCAACAAAAACCAAATCACAATTTTCAAGAACAAACAAATTTAGCAAGACTGCAAAATAGACAAACAGCAATAGCAAGACTGCAAAATAGACAAACAGCAAGGTTATCCCAGTCAGAACTTCATAGCTATGTTTGTGGATATCTGCTAATCAGCATAACACAAATGTAAGTGATCGTCAGAAAGAATCAGACAGGAGCAATCAGGGTGTTGCAAGTCCTGATTACGCAGAGACGTTAATCACGTTTCATGCATCTCCAATCATCATGTTCTAATCTGCCCTCCGGAGGAGGAACAGGTAAGGATTATCCCACCTGACGATACAGACAAACAGCCGACATTCTGCACTCAGTGAAAAAGATTCCGTTACAAGCTAGGGTGAGTTCATAACGCGCTGGTATGAGCAATCCTATTATTTAGCGTCCTTCCAGTTGTTTTGCCATATTAGCTCGCACATTTTTTTAAATTTTTTTTTCATTCGGCTGCCGAAAAGGAATAAATTACTTCTTCCCAGAATGCTCCGATCAGTTACGTGCCGGACGTTCTAACTGTACGCACTTTCTATTTACATATCTCCGCCCACTCCCTTCCGCCAGGCACCTACCGTAGTAACCAAAATAGAAGCGATACCAAGTATCTTACGGTCTGCAGGACTAGAAAACAGCGTTGTTTTTTTTTTATTCAGTAGTTCAGCCATCTCAATTGTCCCCTAAAACTGTATATAAGTCTTAATGTTACTACAAAACATATTTTATTACAAAGCACTAAATACAATGCGGATAATCCCAGACTCAAGACGTAATTATTCCAACACATATCCTCCAGCAGAAGCAGTTTCCGAGGGGAAAACCGAAGCCTATGCCTTCCTTCTTCCAGGAATACGAAGCGGCCCTTGCCCCTGTAGGCTTCGTCCTTAGGTTCCCGTCATGAAGGTAATCAGAAGGGTTTCTTTTTCAGCCCAAAGACGGTGACGAATAAAGCCATTTCAGTGACAGCTGGAAGGGCACTACCAAGGCAAGTGGTAGATTCAGAAACCCTTTCAGTATAAATACCCAAATCTCCAAACCAGAGACCCCACCTCTGAAAGTGTAGGGCAGGTGGCATGGGGGGTAGGGGATGAAACTTTAAAAGCCTACAGGATGTTGAGTGGATCTGGTATCTCACACATGGAGGAAAGGGCTGGGTAGGGGAAAAACCTTCAGGTTTAGGGCCAACCTTCCTCCCTCATCCCCAAATATTGGATGCTACCACACCTGCAGAAGACAAAAATGTACCAATACGTAGTGCACTCCCAACGCTCGAATATGAAGAAGGACAGGGCCACGGATGCACTACAGTGAGCCCCAATGGCTTGGGAAGGCACGAGATTAAGGAAAGTCTTTGGATCGACAGACAGTGATGGGTCAGAAAAGGCCAGTGGTGGGGCTGGCATCTGCATTCAGGTTCATCCCTTGCTCCCTCACCATGTTTCAAGGGCTAGAGTCAGCAGCTCTGACTTCTGAATTTTAGGACAGTCATGTGAGGAGAGACCAGAAGTGACTGCACAGATCGGACCTCAGGCTACCCTACCCCTTATCTGTGGGCCAGCCTGGATCCTTCAGATGAGAGGTAAGAGTAGGCTCTCCTTCTGCTATGCCACAAAGGAGTGCTGACAGCGACTTAATATGCGCTGGAATCAGCCTCCAGTGTCCTGGTCCTCCTGGTCCACAATTCTCTGACCCATGTGCCTCATCTCCTTTGCCTCTTCTGAGTTCCCAGTGCTCGCTTCCGTTGCCTCTTCTGAGTTCCCATTGTGCTTTATATCTTTTGTTTGTTTTTTGACAGAGTCTTGCTCTGTTGCCCTGGCTGGAGTGCAGTGGCACGATCTCAGCTCACTGCAACCTCTGCCTCCCGGGTTCAAGCAATTCTCCTTCCTCAGTCTCCTGAGTAGCTGGGATTACAGGAGTGCGCCGCCACGCCCGACTAATTTTTGTATTTTTAGTAGAGACGGGGGTTTCACCATGTTGGTCAGGCCGGTCTCGAACTCCTGACCTCAGGTGGTCCACCTGCCTCGGCCTCCCAAAGTGCTGGGATTACATGCGTGAGCCATCGCGCCCTGCCTGTGCTTTCTATCTTCACACACTTCTATAGCACAGTGCTTATCACACTGAATTACAGATTTGTATCTACCTCCTCCTCATTGTAAAAAGAAACGGTGGGGTTTTTATTATTCCTATTATTTTTGTAGACTTGGGTTCTCACTATGTTGCCTCCTGCCTGCGCCTCCCACAGTGCTGGGATTACAGACGTGAGCCAACATGCCTGGCCAAAAACTGTATTTTACTCTCATTTTGGGATTTTAAGTGCCTAGTAAACAGCAGGATTTAGCACATCGTTGAAGATCTTTGAACTGGAAGGATTGGCTACAGCAGACACTATTGTGTCAGGTGGCTGAAGGGAGTCCTGATAGAAGTGGGTCGTGTGGGAAAGGTGGGCAGGCAGAAAGGATACAGATGAGGCTCTGGGTGCTGTTGAACATGGAGACTCCTGAGAGGAAACCGGCCAGCTCCACTGCAAAGAGGCCCAGGGTGACAGAGAGCGCGGCCACCAGCCTGCAGAGAGGAAGTGGACTGGCCCAGGCCTTTGGACTTATTCTAAGACCCCTCCACTCCCACCACCTCTTCGTTCTGGCCACCCCGTCCCAAGAGCTCACTGAATGTCCTGCTTGTCATACTCCTCGGGGGTGAACGTGAGAGGCAGGCAGGCCTGTATGTTGCTGTCCTGGGAGCAGGGCACAGGAAGAGAAGTGAAAAAGGGGCAGGCTGCAGGGCAGGCCTGGGGGCGGCGGGAAACAAGAAAACCCAAGAGGGTAAGACACTGGGAGGGGGCAGGGTAGGACTAGGACCACTCAGAGATGGGAATGGGGACGGATTGAGTGCAGCCGTGGGTCTTACCCGGGACCAGAATAAGGTGATGACGACCACCAGATGCGCCAGGAGCGTCAGGAAGCGAGAGGGCACAAGCCCTGAGACCCGGCCCATGGCCCTCGGGGACAAGGGCGGCGGTCTCTGAGGCTGGAAGTTCAGAGACAGCGACTCCTGAAGTCTCCCCGCAAGCCGACAAATCTAGACGAACGCCTCCTTCCCGCCCGCTCAGGCACCGCCCAGTTGCCTTGGTAACCGTGTACGCGGGCTCGGCGCCGCGTTCTCGGAAATCCTCGCGAGCAGTACATTCTCCGGCTGCTGCGGGTCTCTCAGGGCCAGCGAAGGTCAGGGGTACCCGAAGGCGCTTCTAACCTAACGGCTGGGTACCCGCGCGCAGCCAGGCCCTTTGTTCCTCAGAGGGTGCGAGGTGGCACAGCCCCGCAGCGCCCGATCTGCCCACGCAGGGCGGATGAACGGAAACCCACCCTGGCCTAGCTTGGGGACACCAATGCTTCTGCTGTTGCCCACGCCGGGAGCGGCCCCCAGCCCCAGCTACGCTGCCCAGTTGTGGATCACTTGAGACCGCTGCCACCACCACGCCGGGCTGAGTTCCCCGCCATGCCGAAGACTCAGACCCGCTCCCCTTCCCCTCCTCTGCATGCCTTTAGCTTCCCACCAAGCTGGGCCTGAGAAACAAGGGACCCGAACCTGGAGAGGCCGGTGTTCCTGGACTGCTCTGCAGTCACAGATTGTCACGGAGCCCCTGGTTGTCTGAGGACCCCAGGCCTGAACCTTCCTTGAGGAAGACTGATTTCTTTCAGACTACTTTGCTCAGTTTGGTGAGGGATTTGCAGAGTGCAAAAAATGGCCAGCGTCCTTAAACTAGCATGGGGATAAGAGCAGAGCAAGGTGGCTGGAAAGAGTGGGAGTGGACGAAGGGAATGGGACAGTCCCTGCGTCTCTGGGAGGCTTGGAGCCGGCTGGAAGGGAAACTCAACTCAGATTTCTTTGTCCCTTGGAGGTGCTGGGCCTCCGACATTGCCCAGCTACAGTCCAAGAAGCTCTTATCATCGGCGACCTCATGACCTTTGGGCCTCAGCGCAGGTCCCTGCAGATCTGAAAGTTCTTTAATTGCTGAGTCAAGTCCCATCCTCAAGGAACCTCCCGGCCCATCTCCCAGGAGAACAATCTCTTCCTACTCCCCACTCCCCATCTCAGTGCTTTTAGCCAGCCTAAACTACAAGCCCAAGAGGCATTTCTCATTCCTTCAACAAATATTTGTATATGTTTATTGATTACCTAGTAAGGGTATTCTAGTCAGGGAGATCAACAACAGACATGCAAACAAATAAATCCGTAAGATAATAGGCGCTACAAACAGGGAAAAGCGGGCTGTGCACTGTGGCTCACACCTGTAATCCCAGCGCTTTAGGAGGCCTAGGAGGGCGGATCACCTGAGGTCAGGAGCTCGAGACCAGACTGACCAACATGCTGAAACCCTGTCTCCACTAAAAATACAAAATTAGCCGGGCGTGGTGGCGCGTGCCTGTAATCCCAGCTATTCGGGAGGCTGAGGCATGGGAATCGCTTGAACCCAGGAGGTGGAGGTTGCAGTGAGCCGAGATCGCGCCATTGCACTCCAGCCTCTGCAACAAGAGCGCAACTCCGTCTCCAAAAAAAAAAGAAACGCTAGAATTATAATTCTATAAAAATAGGGCATTTATAATTCTATTAAAATAGAGCATTTATTTTGTTTTATTTTATTTATTTACTTTTTCTGAGACGGAGTCTCGCTCTGTCTCCCAGGCTGGAGTGCAGTGGCGCAATTTCGGCTCACTGCAAGCTCGGCCTCCCGGGTTCACGCCATTCTCCCGTCTCAGCCTCCTGAGTAGCTGGGACTACAGGCGCTCGCCACCATGCCCGGCTAATTTTTTGTGTTTTTAGGAGAGACGGAGTTTCACTGTGTTAGCCAGGATGGTCTCGATCTCCTGCCCTCGTGATCCGCCAGCCTCGGCCTTGCAAAGTGCTGGGATTACAGGCATGAGCCACCGCGCCCAGCCGGACATTTAACCTTAAACTTTATTTTAGAAACTTTGGCCAAAAATTGGCCGGGAGCGGTGGCTCAGGCATGTAATCCCAGCACTTTGGGAGACCGAGGCAGGGAGATCACCTGAGGTCAGGAGTTTCAGACCGGCCTGGCCAACATGGTGAAACCTCATCTCTACTGAAAAAAAAAAAAAAAAAAAAGTTAAAAAGTTAGCCAGGTGTGGTGGCGCCCGCCTCTAATCCCAGCTATTCCAGAGGCTGAGGGAGGAGAAGTGCTTGAACCCGGGAGGCAGAGGTTGCAGTGATCCAAGATCGTGCCACTGCACTCCCGCCTGGGAAACAGACCAAGACTTCGTCTCAAAAAAAAAGAAAAGAAATAAAAAGAAAATGCACTCTGGGACCAGAAGCAAAAGCCCATGCCTGTAATCCCAGCACTTTGGGAGGCCAAGGCGAAGTATTCCTTGAACCCAAGACTTTGAAGCCAGTCTGAGCAACATAGTGAGACACCTCTCTCTGTTAAAACAATAATAAAGGCCGGGAATGGTGGCTTACGCTTGTAATCCCAGAACTTTGGGAGGCCGAAGCGGGCGGATCCCCTGAGGTCAGGAGTTTGAGACCAGCCTGACAAACATGATGAAACCCCGTCTCTATTTAAAAATACAAAAAAAAAAAAAAAAAAAAAAATTAGCCGGGCATGGTGGCACACACCTGTATTCCCAGCTACTCGGGAGGCTGGGGCAGGAGAATCGCTTGAACCCGGGAGGCGGATGTTACAATGAGCCGAGATTGCGCCACTGCACTCCAGCCTGGACAACAGAGCAAGACTCCAACTCAAAAAAAAAAAAAAAAAAAATATATATATATATATATATATATACACACACACACACATATATACATACATAGATATCTTTTTAATAAAGTTTTAGGCCGGGCGCGGTGGCTCACGCCTGTAATCCCAGCACTTTGGGAAGCCGAGGCGGGTGGATCATCTGAGGTCAGGAGTTCAAGGCCAGCCTGGCCAACATGGAGAAACCCCGTCTCTACTAAAAATACAAAAATTAGCCAGGCATCGTGGCACGCTCCTGTAGTCCCAGCTACTCGGGAGGCTGAGGCAGGAGAATCTCTTGAACCCACGAGGTGGAGATTGCAGTGAGCTGAGATCACACCACTGCACTCCACTCTGGGTGACAGAATGAGATTCCGTCTTAAAAAAAAAGTTTTAAACAATAAACATTAATGTTTTCGGAGTCTTATATTGTATTATTAAGACAAGAAATTGGAAAAAAAATGGAATGATTTATAGGATTGAGGGTCCCTAAAATGTTGAACTCCTATATATTGAAACTATGTAATGACATTTTCATATAAACCATCTCTTTAAAAGACAGCACAGCCTTTTCTTCATATTGGAGACAATGTAATCACCAAAACTTGCTTTTATCCCCATGAAATAAAAGCTTGTGATTTTCTAAACTTTACTGAGGAGTTACTATTATTATTATTATTATTTTTTTAAAGGAGGTTCAACAAAGTCTCTCTTTGTTTTTTTTAGGCAGGGTCTTGCTCTGTCACTCAGGATGGAGTGCAGGGGTATGATCATGACTACAGTGACCCTCGACCTCCCTGGCTCAGGTGATCCTGCTGTCTCAGCCTCCGGAATAGCTGGGACTACAGACGCACGCCACCATGCCCAGCTAATTTTTGTATTTTTAATAGAGACCGCGTTTCACCGTGTTGGCCAGGATGGTCTCCATCTCTTGACCTCGTGATCTGCCCGCCTCAGTCTCCCGGCACCCAAAGTGTTGGGATTACAGGCGTGAGCCACCGTACCCGGCACCCCCCTCCCTTTTTTTTTTTTTTTTTTTTTTTTGAGACAGAGTTTTCACCTTTGTCGCCCAGGCTGGAGTGCAATGGCATAATCTCGGCTCACTGCAACTGCCGCCTTGTGGGTTGGGGTGATGCTCCTGCCTCAGCCTCCCTAGTAGCTGAGATTACAGGTACCCGCGACCATGCCCAGCTAATTTTTGTATTTTTAGTAGAGACGGGGTTTCACCATGTTGGCCCGGCTGTTCTCGAACTTCTGACTCCTGACTTCAGGTGATCCACCCGCCTCGGCCTCCCAAAGCGCTGGGATTACAGGCGTGAGCCGCCACGCCCGGCCAGTTCTTTTCTTAACTGTTGGACCCCTTCAAAGTTCTGAAGATAGTTTCAAACCTCCCTGCTCTCAGGATGGACAAGGAAACCCATTAAGTTTTCTCCTTTGAAATGACCCCCATTGCATTTGATTCCTAAAATGAGTGATAGTAATGACACCTAATTTACAATGAGAGATGAGCTTCCTGTATTCTCCAATGCAGAAATTACAGCATAGCAAGCATTCAAACGTTCTTAGGAGACAAGATAAAAAGACTGAAGGTTCAGCCTGGGCGACATGGCAAAACCCCGTCTCTACAAAACAATACAAAAAATTAGCCAAACATAGTGGTGCACACCTGTAGTTCCAGCTGCTTGGGAGGCTGAGGTGGGAGGTTCACCTGCACCCAGGAAGTGGAGGCTGCAGTGAGCCATGATCACACCACTGCACTGCAGCCTGAGTGCCAGGAGTGAGACCTGTCTCAAAAAAAAAAAAAAAAAAAAAAAAAGACTGACGAACTCTCCATGCTTTTCTTCCCTCTGTCTGCAACTTACATGCATTTTCGACCTAGACCTTCAGAGGTGAGCTCCCCCAGTGAGAGATTCATCAAATATAACTGTTCACAGATGAAAGAAGTTGTCATAGGCCAAAAGTGAGGAAAATCCAGGACCTGCTTTTGCAAGGTTTTCCAAGGTCTCTGAATAGAAGGAAGTGAAAGAGTCAGCTACATGAACATCTAGGGAAAGAGCATTCCAGACAGAGGACATAGCAAGTGCAAAGATGGTGAGAACAAGCCAAGTGTGTTTGTTGAACAGTAAGGAAGGCAGCATTTCAGAAACCTAGTGATGGAAGGGGAAGAAAAGTTCAGTGTGAGGTTCGTTAGGTAAACAGGGGCCAGATGAAGCCAGGCCTTGCAGCTACAGGGAGGGACATGGTCAGGTTGGTGTTCTAGATGATGACTCTAGTTGCAACATGGATAATGGATTTTAAGCAAATTTTATTTTTATTTATATTCTTCTTCCATTTTTTTTCTTTCTTTTAAGCAGATTTTAAACAGAAGGCTAATAATTATCCAGAAGAGACAGGATGAGGCTTGGACAAAGGAGGTGGAGGGTATCAAAAGATATTTAGAAGATAAAGGAAGTCTGGACTTGGTGCTGTGGGTGAGTGGGAAAAAGGGAGGGTCAGGATGGCTGTTAGATTATGGGGGCTCTGACAGCTGGAGGTCTGGGGCATTCTGCTTATAATAGGCCTTCTGGGCCAGGCGCAGTGGCTCACGCCTGTAATCCCAGCACTTTGGGAGACCGAGGCAGGCAGATCATGAGGTCAAGAGATTGAGACCATCCTGGCCAAAATGGTGAAACCCCATCTCTACTAAAAATACAAAAATTACCCAGGCATGGTGGTGTGCACCTGTAGTCCCAGCTACTTGGGAGGCTGAGCCAGGAGAATCGCTTGAACCTGGGAGGCGGAGGTTGCAGTGAGCCGAGATCGAGCCACTGCACTCCAACCTGGCGACAGAGCGAGACTCCGTCTCAAAAAAAAAAAAAAAAAAAATAGGCCTTCTGCATAGGGGACTTACTATATAAGTAACAACGGGGTAGTCACATTTCATGTCCTGAACTGATAAACAGTGAGTAGCCTTTCCTGTCATTTTCCATGACCTTGGTTCACAGAAGCCTGCCCTATAGAGACGCTATTTCTGCCTGCTCACAAAACCGATATTTAGAGCCAGCCAGTGGCCATAGGAGGTACTGCTGGTGATGAGGTGTCCCCCCAAGTGACTACTCACTCCAGGACTGGGACCCACAAGTACTAAGATTTGAACTCTTAATAAAAGGAGTTAAAAATCGTTTTTTTATCATGGACAAATTCAAACATGACAAAATAAAGAAAATAGCCGGGTGCGGTGGCTCATGCCTGTAATCCCAGCACTTTGGGAGGCCGAGGTGGGCAGATCACGAGGTCAGGAGTTCGAGACCCTGGCCAACATGGTGAAACCCAGTCACTACTAAAAATACAAATATTAGCTGCATGGTGGCAGGTGCCTGTAATCCCAGCTAATCGGGAGGCTGAGGCAGCAGAATCATTTGAACCTGAGAGGTGGAGGTTGCAGTGAGCTGAGATCGTGCCATTGCACTGCAACCTGGGTGACAGGGCAAGACTCCTTCAAAAAGAGGGGAGGGGAGGGGAGGGGGAAAGGTGAGGGAGTGGGGAGAGGGAAGGATGGGGGAGCCGAGGGGAGGGGAGATAATGAACACTTCTATTCTGCTTCAACAATTATCAACACATGGCCAACTTTGTTTCAGGTATACCCTCCCTCATGGCACACACCAGGTTATTTTGAAGCAAATCCTAGACGTCATCAAACAGTTCAAATTGCCCAAGTGTCTCCTACACACTTCTTTTTTCTTTTACAGTTTGTTTGAATCTGGGTCCAAATAAAGTCCACACATTGCACCTGGTTGTCATGTCTCGCTCATCTTGGGTCCTGCCTCCTCTCTACCCCCTCACCTCCTTTCTCCTTCTTTTCTTTTCTTGCAATTTATCAGTTGAAGGCATTGAGCCATTTCTGGGCCTTATTCTTGTGATGTGATTTAACATGTTCCTCCATGCCCTGCATGTCCTGTAAACTGGTTCTTAGATCCAGTGGTTGGTTAGTCTCACGTTCAGTTTTCTGGTAAAAACACATCATGAGTGACGGTTTGTTCTCCTGATTCCATTGCATCAGGACGCCTGCTTTTCCCTGTTTTTCTAGTGTTTAGGCTGAGCATTGGGTTCAGGTGTAGTCAGACTAGGCAACAATTATAAAATTCCCCGTCCGTTTTTCACCTAATGGTTTAGTTGATCATCACTGCCTAGCTCTATTATTTCATTAGGAGTTGCAAAATTGGGATGTCCTAATTCTGTCATTCTGCAGTAAGAACTTGCCATCATCAATTTGTTTACCATGAGATACAGGTCATACAGGAAAGGCAGGATAAATGTGTGGGTTTTTTCTTATGATTTACCAGTTTTCAGAAAAATGAGTTGGTTCTCTAGCATCTTGAAAAAGTAATTAGTTGTTTTTAATATCATTATGAACTTGTACATTTTAACATCTTTTGTGTATTTCAATCCATTGCAGTTATTCTTTTTGATGTTCAAATTGTCCCAATTTTGGTCGGTGGGAGCTTCTTCTGGTTGGTGCCTAAGCTTGCTTTCTTTCTTTTTTTTTGAGACGGAGTTTCGCTCTTGTTGCCCAGGCTGGAGTGCAATGGCGCGATCTCGGCTCACCGCAACCTCCGCCTCCCGAGTTCAAGAGATTCTCCTGCCTCAGCCTCCCGAGTAGCTGGAATTACAGGCATGCGCCACCACACCCGGCTAATTTTGTATGTTTAGTAGAAACAGGGTTTCTACATGTTGGTCAGGCTGGTCTAGAACTCCCGACGTCAGGTGATCCACCCGCCTCGGCCTCCCAAAGTGCTGGGATTACAGGCGTGAGCCACCATGCCCGGCTCCGTCTCCTCCTCCTCCTCCTCTTCTTCCAGACAGAGCCAGACTCCATCTCAAAAAAAAAAAAAAAAAAAAGAAAAAGACGATTATCTGACTATTCGGGTGGCAGGGAGATTAGAGAGGAGCCTGCTACAACAATCCAGCAAGAGAGGCTGAGGGGTTGTCAGTGGGATGGGGAAGGATGGTTGACAGGGGGATTATTGAGGAAATGGAATTGACAGGATGTGGTGACTGGAAGTAAGACGGTAGGGGGAGGGAAGAATCAAGGATGCATCCCCCAGCCTGGGCCTGGCCACTCTCTGGGAGTGCAGAAAGACTGGAAGGAAGTATGGCAGGGTCAAGTGAAGGTATCAGCAGGCACTACACATCTGAGTCCAGAGGTGGGAGCGAGATTCAGGAGCCCTTAGCAAGCAGGAAATAGCTGAATCCGTAGAACATGTGTAGCATGAGGAGAGAAAACCTCACCCGAGGAAAACCAGGATTTACAGGGAGAACAGAAAAAGAGATTGGAGCTGGGCGCGGTGGCTCACGCCTGTAATCCCAGCCCTTTGGGAGCTCGAGGCGGGTGGATCATCTGAGGTCAGCAATTCGAGACCAGCCTCTCCAACATGGTGAATCCCGGTCTCTACTTTAAAAAAAAAAAATTAAATTAACCGGCACCACGCCTGTAATCCCAGCTACTCGGGAGGTTGAGGAAGGAAAATCGCTTGAACCCGGGAGGCAGAGGTTGCGGCGAGCGAGAACGCGCCACACAGCACTCCAGCCTGGGCGACAGAGTGAGACTCCGTTTCAAAAAAATTTATAAAAGAAAAAAGAAAAAGAGACTGGAGCGGGGAGCCAGTTAGGAAGGGCCAGCAGACTAGTGTCAAGACAACCATGGGAAATGAGGCTCATGGAGAAGATGTTGCCTGGAGTCGGTTAAGGCCAGGCCTGAGAAAGCCTGTTGGCTTTGACATCTCTGTGGTCCCTGATAACTTTCGAGAGAGCCACTGTGTAGAAATTTGGCTTGGATGGAAAGGAATGAGATACAGGCAGGACCTCTTGTGCCATCTCGGCCTATTGAACTCCTTTCATTCTTCTAGAAACAGCCGGGCGCGGTGGTTCACGCCTGTAATCCCAGCACTTTGCGGGGCCGAGGAGGGCGGATCACGAGATCAGGAGTTGAAGACCAGCCTGGCCAACATGGTGAAACCCTGTCACCACCAAAAATACAAAAATTATAGCTGGGCGCGGTGGTGGGCGCTGTAATCCCAGCTACTCGGGAGGCTGAGGCAGACTTGCTTGAATCCGGGAGGCGGAGGTTGCAGTGAGCCAAGGTCGCGCCGCCGCACTCCAGCCTGGACGACAGAGTGAGACTCCGTCTCAAAAAAACAAAACAAAACAAAACAAAACAAAAACAGAAAAACAACAACAAAAAACTTATGTTGGCCGGGCATGGTGGCTCACGCCTGTAATCCCAGCACTTTGGGAGGCCGAGGCGGGCGGATCACCTGACGTCGGGAGTTCGAGACCAGCCTGACCAACATGTAGAAACCCTGTTTCTACTAAACATACAAAATTAGCCGGGCATGGTGGCGCATGCCTGTAATCCCAGCTACTCGGGAGGCTGAGGCAGGAGAATCTCTTGAACTCGGGAGGCGGAGGTTGCGGTGAGCCGAGATCGCGCCATTGCACTCCAGCCTGGGCAACAAGAGCGAAACTCCGTCTCAAAAAAAAAAAAAAAAAAAAAAAAAAAAAAGAAATACTGATGTTTGTGGTGGTTAAAATTAGAACAGAGATTGCCTCTGGCAAGGGAGGAGTGGGGATCCGTAGAGAAGGGACAGACATGCAAGAACCTTGAGAGAGGGAAATGTCCTATATGCTTTTAAAGAGTTGTGATTTGCGCAGGTGTATGTATTTGTCAAAACTCATCAAAATATAGACAAAATTTATCTGCCCTCCAACAGTTGAAATACCGATATTTTTCAAAAGTTTTACATACCGATCTCAGAGCTCTTCCCTGGGCCGTTTAAATCAGAATCTCCGAACCCGGGGGTTGTGCGTGGGTACATTCGAAGTCTCCGCAGGCAATTACAAAAGTGCAACCGGGGAGGAGACCTGCTGCTGGGGGAGCAAATCTCTTACCACTTCAGGTGCCCTAGGCTCTGGCACTGCTCTGTCACGTTCCGTCTGGTTCCCATCCTTCCATCCGTTTCTAGGCAGGTCCGTCCCCACTGGGCTGTAAGCTTTGGGATCCCCTGGCGATCAGCTCGGGACCCTCTATCTGGGCGTTGGCAGGACGCCGGGGGCCGGGAGGGACAGACCGCTAAGCCTGGATCCCATAGTCACTGCCCTGGGGTGCCACTCGCCCGGCTCGTCCTACAGGGCTGGCTCGGCGAGCGCAGATACGACCCCGCAGCTGTTCAGAGGGGCAGAAATGCCCTAGGTGCCCATCCATGCCTCGATTCATGACCCTGGCCTCCAGGGCGCACAGTGGTCATGGGGAGACCTGAGCTGCCGAGTGGCCGGCCGACCTCGTGGCGCAACGGTAGCGCGTCTGACTCCAGATCAGAAGGTTGCGTGTTCAAATCACGTCGGGGTCAGCGGCTATTTTTCTTCGGTTTTTATTAACCCCCTTTATTTTAAACTACGGTCGAGCTTCAGCGTTCAGGTCATTGAAGAAGCAATATCTCCTTGGGGCCTGAAGGAGAGGGGTTTCTGGAAGTTCCAAGGCCGCCCCGTCTGGACAGCCCAACCATCGCGCGGGGATTTTTGCGATGGATCCGGGTACCGTAATTCTGGGCGGATAACGCGGGTCCTAAGACAGGAGCAGTTCTAGACCTCTCAGCAGAGGGACGAGGGTCGGGCCATCACGCATGGAAGAAGTCGGTCTCTGATCTACGAGTTCTCTTTCCAGTGCCGAGCGGATTCCTTCCAAATGTGCAGCCTTCACGACGTAGGCGAGCCCCACCTGCAGGAAGTTCAGGTTCCAGAGAAGTGAGATGCGGAGGGCAGTCTGAACAGCGAGGGCTGTCTGCAGACGAGGTGGCCGAGTGGTTAAGGCGATGGACTGCTAATCCATTGTGCTCTGCACGCGTGGGTTCGAATCCCATCCTCGTCGGCTAAGGAAGTCCTGTGCTCAGTTTTGTAGCATCAAAACTAGGATTTCTCTTGTTACCCCCAGTCACTCCATTCAGTTTTCGTGTCTTTCCCAGCTGCATCCATCCTTTCCTCATTTTCGTATGCAGCCGACTTTTTGTGACATCTTTGTATTCATTCTCTGCAATTCAGCTGACCTGGCCAAGGAAACAAGATCCTAAGCGTCTTTCCGGCGGCGCCGTGGCTTAGTTGGTTAAAGCGCCTGTCTAGTAAACAGGAGATCCTGGGTTCGAATCCCAGCGGTGCCTCCGTGTTTCCCCCACGCTTTTGCCAACATTAAACATTGTGAGGACAGTTGCAGAAACTCATAACTTCCATCCTACATGGTTTACTCACGTACCCATCTATCCTCTCCCGGTGCATCTGCCACACGCTGTTGGGTTTTTGCTCTTCGTGCACATGGTACTTGCGCCTCGACCTGCAGTTACACCAGTCGCATCATCTGTACTTGCCAGTACTGTCTGTTACTCGTCTAGGTGCTCAGTTAGTCAGTGTTTGTGTTCTGTTTTCATTTCTCATAAAGCAGTCCCACAACTGAAGGTTTTTCCCGAGAGAACTGAACAGTATTGTAACTAAATAGATTTATTTCAAGCTTTTCGTAGCAACTGGCCGGTTAGCTCAGTTGGTTAGAGCGTGGTGCTAATAACGCCAAGGTCGCGGGTTCGATCCCCGTACGGGCCAGGATTGAAACTTTTCGAAAGTACGATTACTGCACTCCGTTTTAGAGCCAAGTAACGTCTCTGGGGAAAAACAGCGCCACATTTCCAATCCCAGAACAGGGAGCGTATTGGAGCGCATTCTAAAGTGGGCGTGTCTTGAGAGGAAGGGATTGAGAGAAACCGGGGTTGTTTCGTGATCTTTGCTTCTACATCTTATGGCCACAATATATGGCTCCTGAACTTACTGTGTGAACTGTAAACAAAAGGCTTTGGGACAAATTTGTCTCAAACCACGTGGCACTGATCTGCAGAGTGTGGGAAATGGTCAGGAATAGAGCTGACAAGTGTTCCCAGTCTTCCCCCAGAGGTAAGATGTCCGTCCAATCCACCCAGCCCCTGCCTATTCATGAGGACCTGAGAAGACAATTTCTTCCCCTTCTCTTCTAGAGCATCTTTTTTACGTTTCTGTGGTTACCGGATCTCTGGGCCCCTGTGAGTGATTATCTGTGTCCTCACATTTCCCCTCAGACCAGATGCTTAAGAGCAAGAACCATATCTTTCCCCACGGAGCCTGAGACATCTCCACCCCCACCCCACTCCCAGCACCAGCCCCAAGGGAGCTGCGTGAACAACACCGACCCTCATTCCCATTCCTTTGGCTTATTAATCACTGCAACCCCACACAGACTCAGCCTCAGCCTTCGCAGCAGCAGCACTTTAATTCCACAAAAACTCAGAAAGCCAAAACTGATTAGAACACTCCACAACAGGTGAGCTTCAAAACCAGCAACATTCTACCTGAACCCTGAGAGCAGTGAGACGCCTCCCACCTCACCCCCTCCGCCGTGCAACCCATTCCTCCTAGCTGCACGCCGGTTCTGGCTGGGGAAGTGGTATGGTAGAGGGCCAGAGGGCAGAAGCAGAAGGCTCTCCATCAGCAGGGGTGCATCTTTGCCTGCGGGGTGTTTGGCCAAGGACGGCACAAGCTCCCACAGCCCCTGGCACCTGAGATGTGGCCACTGGAGTCAGGATAGCCACAGTGGGGGCTGGGGCTTCCTCTGTCCCTTTCTCCTGATTACATGTGGGAGTCACGTCCTCACCTTCAAGCAGACCTAAAGCCCCGTGTTCCCAGGGCTGGTGCTCTAGCTAGGGAGGAGAGTTGGGAAGAACAGGGTAGCTACAGATGGCCAACTGAATACAAGCAGAGCAACATCCCTTCCCACCAGGAGAGCCGTTAGAACTTCCCCACATACACCAGCCTAAGGCCCAGCGAGTGGGCACGGGCCAGCTGAACGCATCTGGAAGAGCCTCCAACACACAGGCCTCCCCTCAGTGGGCACTTCCCACCAGGACTCCCTGAAGAGTCCTTAGGGTCCTGCTGGGCCCTGCCCTGGCCAGGACCGGCCTCTCCTGTCCTCCTGGTCACTTGCACAGGGCCTCCAACACCTCCAGAGTACGTCGGATATCCCGGACTTGGCGCGCCAGCCCCTGAACCGGCTGCAGAGCCCGCTCCAGCTCCTCGCAGCGCGCCAGCAGGGTGTACATGCCCTTGATGCTCATGTCCACGGCTTCACCTAAGGAGTCCACAGCATCGCGGTAGGTCTGGATGCAACCCACGCTCAGCGCCGTCAGCTCCTGCACCGCGCCACCCAGACCGCGAAGCAGACGGTCCACCCGGCCTCCCAGCTCCCGACTCAACCGCTCCAGATCCCGCAGCACCTCGGGGTCGATTGGGGGAATGGCCGGTGTGGGTGTGGGTGCAGGCGCTGGGCAGGGCCGCGCAGGGGCAGAAGGCGGGGGTGGAGGCGCGCCGCTCAGACGGATCTTGAGTTGCAGGTTGTTGGCGACAAAGTGGGTAAGGTCGCCGTGGCGGCTCACTGTGCCTTCGAGCTCCAGGGGACTGGAGATGGTGGCGCGGCGTCCGCCGCCCGCGCCGGACTCGGCACTCCCTGAGGACCCGGCGCCACCGCACGCCTCGCTCAGCCCGTCCAGGCTGCGGCTGTCCTGAAGACGGCTGGAGAACGAGCGGCCGGCTCTGCTGCCCGCGGCCGCCTCCTCGTCGTTGTCTTCCTCCTCCTGCTGCTCAACATCCATCCCGCCGCCTGGTCCCCCTCGACGGCAGTCCCTCCCGGAGGAGGGCTTGCCCTCGGGCGGCGCCGGGTTCTTGTGCCGGGAGGACAGGGAAGGTTCGTGCTCTGCACCCGGCGCCCCCCTGCGGCTCCCGGCCCCAGACAGCGTCCCTTGAGGGCCGGGCTCGTTCTCCAGAGCCTCCCGTTCCGGCCGGTGGACGACGCCGCAGCTTGACGTCTTCGGGGACGTCCTGGGGTGGCGGTTCGCGCCCCCAACGTTCTCGGTCTCTTCCTCCCCGGACACCCGGAGGCCTGCGGGCGGCTCAGAGGACGTTCGGCCCGGCCCGCCGCCAAAGACTAGGGCCTGATGTTCCGCTACAGCCAGAAGGTCCGTCTCGGGCCCGGGCCGCCCCCGAGACGACTCCATACTGCAGGTGGGGGCCGCAACGGAGGAATTGGTTCGCCCCGGCTCCGGAGGCAGTGGCTGCGCCTTTAAGGGGCGTTGGTAGAGGCGAGCCGATTGGCAGCGGCTGACAATGGTAAGGACAGGAAAAGCATTTTGATTGGTCGCGGCGACCAGGAAGTCCCGGAAGAAGAGCTGTTACTGCACAGCGGAACACACGTGAACGCCGGCAGGGTGGAGAGAAGGAGGTGACAGCTGCTCCCGTCGCCCCGCCCTTTCTGAAAGCTGATGGGGCAGATCTTAAAGACCAAGGTCCTCAAATTCCTGAGTCCCGAGGGGTGGGGCTCAGATCCTTTCTGCCTGTAATTGTACCCCCCCCAACAGTGATTGCTTAGCAAAAATACCAAGTGGGGAGCCCACTTGGGGTTCCTAGAGAGGTTCTTAGGATGAAAATGGCATATCCTTCTTGGACCATCAGGGTTGAACCTAGTTGACTAAAAAGAAGGAAACCAGAAGTCCAGCATGAGCATGAATGGTTTGCTCTATCTTTCTTGGTTAAGAGACCTAACCACTGAACTGCTCAGAGCGACCCACTGTGGTCAAGGCAGCGGCCTCTGGGCTTTCCTATGCGTTTGTCACTCTTGTTCTGTGTCTCTTGCCCCTTTCACACTGAGGGGTCTCGCCCCTTGGAGGATGGCGTGTGATTTTGCCACGAGGTAAAATATTCAACAAATGAAATGATCACAAATTTTGATATGTGCTATACAGGAAATAAAGTGTTATGATTGAGAATATAACTGAGCAGGCACTAGTTTAGGTAAGGGGTCAGGAAAATACCTCTTTGGTGAGACTTTTAACTAAAAAGAACCAAAAAGACGCAGCCACCCCCCAGGCAGAGAGAAGAAAACTTGAGCTACCTCTCAGAGACAAAGAAGTCTTGACGTATTCAAGAAACTGAGGTGAGGGGGCAGGAGACATTGGGACTAAAACAAAATCAGCAAGATAAGGGGAAGGATTTCGAGCCAAGGAGCTGAACAGGCAGCAGGGGCCACGTCATGCAGGGGGCCTTGTAGTTCCTGTTAGGGAATGGAGATTTCCTCTAAATGCAATGGTGCAGCGACATTGGAAAGGTTGTACATTGCAACACATAGCCAAAGCTTGGAGACATCAGTATTTTTATTTATTTATTTATTTATTTATTTATTTATTTATTTATGTATTTAGAGACAGAGTCCCACTCCGTCACCCAGGCTGGAGTGCAGTGGCGCGATCTCGGCTCACTGCAACCTCCGCCTCCTGGGTTCACGCGATTCTCCTAACTCAGTCTCCCGGGTAGCTGGGATTACAAGCGCCCGCCACCACGCCCGGCTAATTTTGTATTTTTAGTAGAGATGGGGTTTCACCATGTTGGCCAGGCTGGTCTTGAACTACTGGCCTCAAGTGATCCACCCGCCTCGGCCTCCCAAAGTGCTAGCATGACAGGCGTGAGCCACCGTGCCCGGCCAGACATCAGTATTTAATAAAAACAGTTTGCTAACTCTCCTTAGCTGACAAAGGATGTGGTTGTTTTTTCCATTTGGATAGAGAGATGTCTTGAGGCAGTGTCATGCCAGCATTCAGAAGTGCAACTCCCCAGAACTTCCCAGCACTACTATCCCCAGGTGCCTGCCGGGGTCCTAGCCAGCCAACCCTAATGATAGTAGCTCAATCTTTCACCACGCCTGAGGAGTCCACAATTGTCAGCTGTCTGTATCTTATAGTCACCTGCAGCTTGACAAAACCTGTCATTCCTTTGCTCTAAAAAAAAAAACCTAAAAAGCTCATATATAATTGGGCTGGGTAGGTAGATATTCTTTAGAAGATGGGAGGACTTCCCTTGAGAATGGGAAGCTGAGCACAGGAAGAGAGTGATGTGATGGGATTCATGTTTAGGGATTACTGGCTGTTGTAGAAAATGTTTGCAAGGGAGACGGTAGACCAGTGAGGAGGCGGTTCCAAGTACCAGGTGATAGTAGCTCAGCCTAGCACGATGTGGATGGATGCATTCTAGATGTATCTTGAAGGTTTTAGCGGACAAATGGGCTACCCACCGTCTCTCTGTGTAGGGGAAGCTCCTCACTCCTCAACTCCCCATTCCCTGATGTGTTGGTGCAATGACAGCCAGGAACAGGCACGTGACCCAAAACTGGCCAATTAGAGTACTTCATCCTTCTGACTGCAGATTGGCTCAGGGAAGGGCACATGACCCAATGTATGACCAGTAAAAATCCTCCACAGTGTTGTTTGTTTCTAGCTTTGTGGAGAGTGTGAGACGCCTTTCTGTTCTCTTGAGAGCTCAAGCTGGGTATCAGCTTGTCCATCTTTCATGTCCAGGAGATCGCTGTCTGTAGAAGGAAAGAATGAGGCTGATAAGGAAGAGAACCAGAGACAAAAGATGAAGAGGCATGAGTTCTGAGAGCGTTTGAATTCCTGTGCCAGCCTGAAGATAGCCCCACCTTTATCCTTCCTGTGATTTGGTTCCTTGCCCCACCCCTATCGCACCACCTCCCCCGCAAAACCTTGTTTCTTCCTACGGTGACTTCTGTCTCAGTAAGTGGCAACTCCATCTTCCCAGTGGCCAAGGCCAAAAACCCTGGAGTTGTACTTGACTCCTCTTTCTGTCATAATCCATGGCCAATCCTTTAGGAAATCTTGTTGGTTCTGCTCGAAAATACATCCAGAATCTGACCACTTCTCATCCTTACCATTGTTTCTGCCCTGGTCCAAACCACCATCATTTTTGGCCTGGATAAATGAAGTTGCTTCCCGAATGGTCTCACTTCTTCTACCCTCACCTCTCTCTACAGTCTATTTTCAATAGAGAACCAGAATGATCCTTTAAAAATGTAAATTATCAGCAGGGCGCGGTGGCTCACGCCTGTAATCTCAACACTTTGGGAGGCCGAGGTGGGCGGATCACGAGGTCAGGAGATCGAGACCATCCTGGCCAACATGGGGAAACCCCGCCTTTACTAAAAATACAAAAACATTAGCCCGGTGTGGTGGCGCGCACCTGTAATCCCAGCTAATCTGGAGGCCGAGGCAGGAGAATCACTTGAACCCGGGAGGCGGAGGTTGCAGTGAGCCGAGATTGTGCCACTGCACTCCAGCCTGGCAACAGAGCGAGACTCCGTCTCAAAAAAAAAAAAAAAAAAAAAAAAAAAAATTAGCCAGACATGGTGTTGCACACCTGGAGTCCCAGCTACTGTAGAGGCTGATGCGGGAGGATTGCTTGAACCCAGAAGGTTGAATCTGCAGTGAGCTATCATCGGACTATTGCACTCCAGTCTGGGCAACAGAGCCAGACCCTATTTCAAAAAAAGAATTAACTGATTAGGTTAAGAGTTATGCTCCTCCTGGAGCTAGGGATGGGTCAGTTCCTTCCAAATTCAAACAGTTGCGACATAATGGGAAGGCAGGAGGGGCTGTCAGGAGGCTACCACAGTGTCCACTACAGTGGGGTTCAGCAAAGTATAGCCCAAGGGCCAAATCCAGCTCAACACCTGTTGTTATACGGCCATGAGCTAAGAATGCTTTTATGTTTTTATTTGTTTGTTTGAGACAGAGTTTCGCTCTTGTTGCCCAGGCTGGAATGCAGTGGCGCAATCTCAGCTCACTACAACCTCTGCCTCCCAGGTTCAAACAATTCTCCTGCCTCAGCCTCCCAAGTAGCTGGAATTACAGGCATGTGCCACTACGTCTGGCTAATTTTGTATTTTTAGTAGAGATGGGGGTTTCACCATATTGGTCAGGCTGATCTTGAACTCCTGAGATCAGGTGATCCATCTGCCTCAGACTCAGTGCTGAGATTAAAGGCGTGAGCTACCCTGCCCAGCTGTTGAAAATAATCTAGAGAATATGAAAGTTGGCTGGGCACAGTGGCTCACGCCTATAATCCTAGCACTTTGGGAAACCGAGGCGGTTGGATCACTTGAGGCCAGGAGTTCAAGATCAGCCTGGCCAACATGGCAAAAGCCCTGTCTCTACAAAAAGTACAAAAATTAGCTGGGAAGCCGGGCGTGGTGGCTCACACATGTAATCCCAGCACTTTGGGAGGACGAGGTGCGCAGATCACCTGAGGTTAACAGTGCCAGACCAGCCTGACTAACATGGTGAAACCCCGTCTCTACTAAAAATACAAAAATTAGACGCGCATATTGGCGGGTGCCTGTAATCCCAGCTACTCGGGAGGCTGAGGCAGGAGAATCGCTTGAACCAGGGAGGCAGAGGTTGCAGTGAGCCAAGGTCGCTCCATTGCACTCCAGCCTGGGTGACAGAACATTTCATCTCAAAAAAAAAAAAAAATAGCTGGGCATGGTGATGTGTGCCCATAGTCCCAGCTACTCGGGAAGCTGAAGCACGAGAATTGCTTGAACCCAGGAGGCAGAGGTTGAAGTGAGCCAAGGTCGCTCCATTGCACTCCAGCCCGGGCGACAGAACATTTCATCTCAAAAAAAAAAAAAAAAATAGCTGGGCATGGTGATGTGTGCCCATAGTCCCAGCTACTCGGGAAGCTGAAGCACGAGAATTGCTTGAACCCAGGAGGCAGAGGTTGAAGTGAGCTAAGATCACACCACTGCACTCCAGCCTGGGCAACAGAATGAAACGCTGTCTCCAAAAAAAAAAAAAAAAAAAAAATTCAGAGTCTATAAATTTTTATTGGAACACAGCTATGTTCATTCACTTATGTATTGTCTTTTTTTTGTGTGTTGTATTGTTGTTGTTTTTTGAGACACAGTCTTGCTCTGTTGCCCGGGCTGGAGTGCAGTGGCACCATCTCAGCTCACTGCAACCTCCGCCTCCCGGGTTCAAGCGATTCTCTGCCTCAGCCTCCTGAGTATCTGGGACTACAGGCATATGCCACCACACCCGGCTAATTTTTTTATCTTTAGTAGAGACAGGGTTTCACCTTGTTGGCCAGGCTGGTCTCAAACTCCTGACCTAAGATGATCTGCCCAAAGTGCTAGCATTACAGGCATCAGCCACAGTGCCTGGCCTCCAACAGCATTTTATTTTATTTTGTTTTATTTATTTATTTATTTTGAGACGAAGTCTCACTCTGTCGCCCAGGCTGGAGTGCAGTGGCATGATCTCGGCTCACTGCAAGCTCTGCCTCCCGGGTTCATGCCATTCTCCTGCCTCAGCCTCCCCAGTAGCTGGGACTACAGGCGCCCGCCACCATGCCCGGCTAATTATTTGTATTTTTAGAAGAAACGGGGTTTCACCGTGTTAGCCAGGATGGTCTCGATCTCCTGACCTCGTGATCCACCTCGCCCCACCTGGCCCGCCTCAGCCTCCCAAAGTGCTGGGATTACAGGCGTGAGCCACTGCGCCCAGCCCCCAACAGCATTTTAAAATATTATTTTTAGAAAGTAAAAATTTCTATGTAAGGGCCAGGCACGGTGGCTCACATCTGTAATCCCAACACTTTGGGAAGCCGAGGCCGGTGGATCACCTGAGGTGAGGAGTTAGAGACCATTCTGGCCAACATGGTGAAACCCTGTCTCTACTAAAAATATAAAAATTAGCTGGGTGTGGTGGCGCATGCCTGTAATCCCAGCTACTCGGGAGGCTAAGGCAGGAGAATCACTTGAACCTGGGAGGTGGAGGTTGCAGTGAACGGAGATCATGCCATTGCACTCCAGCCTGGGCAACAAGAGTGAGACTCCATCTCAAAACAAACAAACGAAACAAAACAAAACAAAACAAGATGTCTATGTATATTAATGCAATTGGGAACAGCCCATGTTATACGTAAGAAATGACTGTTATTTCCATCTTAAAGACTCACAAAAGGCCAGGCGCAGTGGCTGGCTGGGTGCCGTGGCTCACGCCTGTAATCCCAGCACTTTGGGAGGCCGAGGCAGGTGGATCACTTGAGGTCAGGAGTTCAAGGCTGGTCTGGATAACATGGTGAAACCCTGTCTCTATTAGAATCGCTTCAACCCAGGAGGCGGAGGTTGCAGTGAGCTGAGACAGCGCCACCACACTCCAGCCTGGGTGACAGAGTCTGTCTCAAAAAAAAAGACTCACAAAAATACAAAAATAACTTGGCCAAGGTCACATGGCTAATAAGCAATGGTGAAGGAATTCAAAGTGAGACATGCTGACTCAAAGTGAAAGCTCGATCATCCACAGGTCTCACCCCTCCATAGGCCACAGTAGGGGTGGGGGTCAGATTACCCACCCTCAATGTTGCCAGTGCCCACATTACTTCACAGAAGTAGAGAGAAGTTATCTGCCGACCTATCAGGGGAACAAGCAAGGCTGGATATCTTTTCTGCTTTCTTTTTTTGGCATCATCCATTCAGTGGGAAGGTAAGGTGATCATCAAGTCCCAAAAATGAACAAATGCCCCAGTCAGCTATGCTCAGCATTTAGAAGAATGTCAACTAGGACAGTTTTCTCCCCATACCCCAGGGCATCAGCCCTTGTATTGTCTGTAGGGCTTGTTGAGTGGGATGGGGGTGGAATGCAGGTTTTATGTGGCATGTAGAATTATGCCATGGTTTTACATTACATTTGGGGATGGCTCTTGCTCTGGATACTTGGAATTTTCACGTGTGAGGAGATGATGTCTTTGTTTTCTTTTCTTTTTTTTTTTTGAGATGGAGTTTCCCTCTTGTTGCCCAGGCTGGAGTGCAATGGCCCAATCTTGCTTCACTGCAACCTCCACTCCCGGGGTTCAAGAGATTCTTCTGCTTCATTCTCCCAAGTAGCTGGGATTACATGCACCCGCCACCACGCCCGGCTAATTTTTTTTTTTTTTTTTTTTTTTTGTATTTTTAGTACAGATGGGATTTCACCATGTTGGCCAGGCTGGTCTTGAACCCCAGACCTCAGGTGATCCACCCGCCTCGGCCTCCCAAAGTGCTGGGATGACAGGCATGAGCTGCCGCGCCCAGCCGAGGTCAGAGCTTTAGTGATGGAAGTGGAAGAGCAGTTACAGAGGAGCATCCATTGGTGGGGAAGGACCAGAACTCTTAGGGAAGGGCTTCTGAACCCCTCAGAACCACCTGGGGAGTTAAAAGCGACATGGATGCTCCAGCCTCAACCCAGATCAATGAAATCTGAATTTGTTAGGGCAAGGCCTGGGAGTTTTTTGTTTTTTGGTTTTTTTTTTTTTGAGACGGAATCTCGCTCTGTCGCCCAGGCTAGAGTGCAGTGGCACGATCTCAGCTCACTGCAAGCTCCGCCTCCTGGGTTCATGCCACTCTCCTGCCCCAGCCTCCTGAGTAGCTGGGACTACAGGCACCCACCACCACGCCCAGGTAATTTTTTTTTGTATTTTTGGTAGAGACAGGGTTTCACCGTGTTAGCCAGGATGGTCTTGATCTCCTGACCTCGTGATCCGCCCGCCTCAGCCTCCCAAAGTGCTGGGATTACAGGCGTAAGCCACCGCGCCCGGTCTCCTATTTTCTTTTTAAGTCCTTCAGATGTTTCTAATGTGCAGCCATTGTTGATAACCCCTGAAGATAGGACCTTGCCAGCCATGATAAGGAGTTTTGATTTTATTGTAAATACACCGAAAAACCAAAGGAGGGTTTTGAACAGAGGAATGATATGCTCTGACTTTGACTGTTGGGGGAATGGACTCTAGGAGGCAGGAACAGAAGAAGCAGAGAGAATAGTTAGGAGGTTGTTATCACCCAAGCCAGAAAGGATGGTGACTTGAACCAGCATGAGAGTGATGGGGTGTGTGTGTAATAAAGGTGGGCCTCTCCATGGATTTGGTTGGCAATAGGAAGAGTTGGAAGATCTGGGGAGGTGAGGAAGAAAAAAGAGAGAAACCAGGAATGATTTCTAGGTTTTTGACCCAAGTAACTGGGTGCTAAATGATAGTGCTATTGACTGAGATGGGGAAGTTACAACTTTTTTGATTGGGTGGGCACTGAATTAAGAATACTATTTTAGGCCAGGCGTGGTTGCTCCCGCCTGTAATCCCTGCACTTTGGGAGGCCAAGGTCGGGGGATCACCTGAGGTCAGGAGTTCGAGATCAGCTTGGCCAACATGATGAAACCCCCGTCTCTACTAAAAATACAAAAAAAAAAAATTAGCTGGGCATGGTGGCGTGTGCCTGTAATCCCAGCTACTCAGGAGGCTGAGGGAGGAGAATCGCTTGAACCCGGGAGGCAGAGGTTGCAGTGAGCCGAGATCATGCCACAGCACTCCAGCCTGGGCAACAGAGCAAAACTCTGTCTAAAAAAAAAAAAAAGTACTATTTTAGGCATGCTTACTTTGAGAAGCCTATTAGATTGCCAAGAATGTGTTAGTCTCAAGCTTGATAGGGACGTCAAGGTGAGAAATACAAATGTGGGAGTCGTATTTAAAACCACGGGCTGGGCCGGGCACAGTGGCTCACGCCTGTAATTCCAGCACTTTGAGAGGCTGAGGCGGGTGGATCACCTGAGGTCAGGAGTTCAAGATCACCCTGGCCAACATGGTGAAACCCCTACTGAAAATATAAAAATTAGCTAGGCACAGTGGCACGCGCCTGTAATCCCAGCTACTCGGGAGGCTGAGGCAGGAGAATTGCTTGAACCCGGAGGGCGGAGGTTGCAGTGAGCTGAGACTGTGCGACCGCACTCCAGCTTGGGTGACAGAGCGACTCCATCTCAAAAATAAAATAAAAATAAAACCATGGGTTTGGCACAGTGGCTCAAGCCTATAATCCCAGCACTTTGGGAGGCCGAGGTGGGAGGATCGCTTGAGCCCAGGAGTTCAACACCAGCCTTGGCAACATAATAAGACCCCATCTCTACAAGAGAAAAAAAAATTACCCGGGTGTGGTGGTGTGCACCTGTGGTTCCAGCTGCTCCAGAGGCTGAGGCAGGAGGATTGCTTGAGCCCACAAGTTCAAGGCTGCAGTGAGCTGTGATCACACCACTGCACTTGAGCCTGGATGACAGAGTGAGACCCTGTCTCAAAAAAAAAAAAGAAAAAGAAAGAAAGTCGCAGCCAAAGATTTCATATTTGATACCCAGATTCTTGTGTTCCTGGAAACCAAAGTTTCCAGTATCTGAGAAGTTAAGAAAAAATAATTCATACTCCCATACCTTTGGACCTTTCTCCAGGATTTCTTCTGCCTTGGCCCCTGGAACTGTGCAGTCAACAGTAATCTTTTCATTTCTCCTGAAAACAAAAGATCTGACAGTGCATCTAGTTTTGGAAAACACAGGGGTCTGGCCTGTGAGTTGCTCCAACACCTTGGCTGCCTGTGTCAGTCTGTCGTCACTCTTCTCCACACAGATATTGAGGCAGAGCTTACAGATATAAAGTTGGCCTGAGCCAAACTCCCTGGCCTATTTTTTTTTTTTTTTTTGGATGCTAGATGTTTGCATGGTGATGAGACTTATCCAGCCAAAAAAAAAAAAAGGATATATAGATATAGATATAGATATAGATATGTGTGTGTATACACACACACATATATATATATATATAAATGGTAGAAAAGCGAAAGGGGACAATTACTGGAATGAAGTTGTTGAATAGTAGGAGGCCTGGGTTCAGAGTATATCTGGAGGGGCTCCCTGACAGGACTTGAGAAGGGGAAAGACAGATAATAGGTGAACAGAGGTAACTTGGGGCAATTGGTGATTGGAATGTACAAGACCCCTGTTTGGTTCTGCTGTTTCTCAGAGAAGAGGGGGTATCACTAGTGTGGGAGCTGTGGGGAGCTTTGGTGTTTTCGGGAGTAGAAAAGCCAATATATTGGGGATGCTTTGTAATGTTAGAGTAGGTAGACATGAAGGCAGGAAAGAGGGCCTCCAGGTATGCTGGGCATTTGTCAAGCCATGGTCAAGCGATTAGAAATCTGTCCCTCTGACATAATGAGCACGAGAAGGGAAGAACCCCCAAGCTGGTTCTCATCGAGTGAAGGACCGGCAGGCATACAACCATCCGTCTGAGATAATAAGTGGCCATCGCTGGTGCTGGGAGTAAGAGGAGTCTTGCAACAGGAGTTAGCAAGCCATCACCCCTATAAGGTTTTAAGTATGTGCAGTGAAAAAAGAAAATGGTTGAATTTGATCGGTATCTAACCTTCCTGTGGGGGCTCTGGACCAGAAAGGGCGAATTGCCCCTAACGAGCATGCGCTGGACTTCGGTGAACACTGCGCATGCGGTCCCTCCCAAACGCCGGCAGGCCACTGCGCATGCGGCAATTAAGCCACAGCCCGCTCAAGGGAAGAACATAAGGAGGAGACAGAGAGTGCGGGAAAACGTAGGGGGTGTAAAATCTCTAAACATGCCGGGCGCGGTGGCTCACGCCTGTAATCCCAGCACTTTGGGAGGCAGAGGCGGGAGGATCACGAGATCAGGAAATCGAGACCATCCTGGCTAACACAGTGAAACCCCATCTCTACTAAAAATACAAAAAATTAGCCGGGCGTGGTGGCGGGCGCCTGTAGTCCCAGCTGCTCGGGAGGCTGAGACAGGAGAATAGCCTGAACCCAGGAGGCGGAGCTTGCAGTGAGCCGAGATTGTGCCACGGCACTGCAGCCTGGGCGACAGAGCGAGACTCCGTCTCAAAACAAAAAACAAAAAACTCTAAACAAAGAAAAGGAAGGGGCGCTTGATTTTTCAAGTCTCCAGCCTTGTCCTCTTCTAAGTGTACTGTCTTGTAATAAACTCTCACTTGGCTTAAAATCAGTTCTCCCTTCTGCCTTAAACCTTGCCTTTGGCCGGGTGCGGTGGCTCACGGCTGTAATCCCAACACTTTGGGAGGCCGAGGAGGGGGCGGATCACGAGGTCAGGAGTTCGAGACCAGCGTGGGCAATATGGTGAAACTTCGTCTCTACTAAAAATACAAAAATTAGCCGGGCGTGGTGGCGCGTGCCTGTAATCCCAGCTACTCGGGAGGCTGAAGCAGGAGGATCGCTTGAACCCAGGAGGCGGAGGTTGCAGTGAGTCGAGATCGCGCCATTGCATTCCAGCCTGGGCAACAGAGCAAGATTCCGTCTTGAGAAAAAGCAAAAACCTTGCCTTTATCTCGTTTGAATTCTTGCCCTCGAGAAAACAGAGGAGAGAGGTTGCTGCAGAGTTGCAACTCCGGAGTTTCCCGGATAGCTGCAGGCTTACCCGCAGGTAACAGTAGAAGTAGGAGTCAGCGTTAAGGCTGTGGGAAAATAGGTGTCCTTCATTATTGCCGGTGGGAGTGTAAACTGTCCACCACTTAGAGGGGCATTTTTGGTGATATCTATAGACCGTTTACCTGCGTGTACCCAGCATTACCACGTCTTTCTCTAGATGCTGGTACTCTCCATTGCCATGTCTTTCTTCAGATGTCCCCTAGAGGACAACTAGAGACCATCACAAAGGTGCACAGGAGGCACTCAAAAGACACTGGCCACAGTGCAAAGCATTGGAAATAATCTGCATGTGCATCCAGTAGAAGAGCTTTAAAAAAAACCCTAGGGATATCCTTATTAAAAATTATAGGCTGAAAGGCCGGGCGCGGTGGCTCACGCCTGTAATCCCAGCACTTTGGGAGGCCGAGGCGGGCGGATCCCGAGGTCAGGAGATCGGGACCATCTTGGCTAACATGGTGAAAACCCCGTCTCTACTAAAAAATACAAAAAAAAAAAAAAAAATTAGCTGGGCGTGGTGGTGGGCGCCTGTAGTCCCAGCTACTCGGGAGGCTGAGGCAGCAGAATGGCGTGAACCCAGGAGGCAGAGCTTGCAGTAAGCCGCGATCGTGCCACTGCACTCCAGCCTCGGTGACAGAAGACTCTGTCTCAAAAAAAAAAAAAAAAGAAAGAAAGAAAATTACAGGATGGGTGAAGTGGCTCATGCCTGTAATCCCAGCACTTTGGGAGACCCAGACGGGTGGATCACTGGAGGTCAGGAGTTTGAGACCAGCCTGGCCAACATGGTGAAACCCATCTCTACTAAAAATACAAAAATTATCTGGGCGTGGTGGCACATGCCTGTAATCCCAGCTACTCGGGAGGCTGAGGCAGGAGAATCGCTTGATCCTGGGAGGTGGAGGTTGCAGTGAGCTGAGATTGTGCCACTGCACTCCAGCATGAGTGACAAAGCAAAACTCCGTCTCAAAAAATAAAAAATAAATAAGCACCCCGCCCATTTCTTTCTCCCTAGAGATAGCCAGTTCCAAGTCTTTTCACTGTTTTATTTTGATTTGCTTTGGGTATTTACCATACTTTTTTTTTTCTTGAGGCGGAGTATCACTTTGTCGCCAGGCTGGAGTGCAGTGGCTTGACCTCGGCTCACTGCAACCTCTGTCTCCCGGGTTCAAGAGATTCTCCTGCCTCAGCCTCCCTAGTAGCTGGGACTACAGGCACACACCACCATGCCCAGCTAATTTTTGTATTTTTAGTAGAAGCAGGGTTTGACCATGTTGGCCAGGATGGTCTTGATCTCTTGACCTCGTGATCCGCCCGCCTTGGCCTCCTAAAGTGCTGGGATTACAGGCATGGCCTACTGAGCCTGGCCTACCATACATTTTTTTTAAGTTGTTAAACAACAGTCACGTATATTTTATTTTTATTTTTTTAATTTTTACGTTCTCAGGGTGTACAAGTACAGATTTCTTTTTTTTTTTTTCAAAAGGAGTCTTGCTCTTGTTGCCCAGGCTGGAGTGCAATGGCGTGATCTCAGCTCATTGCAACCTCTGCCTTCCGGATTTAAGCAATTCTCCTGCCTCAGACTCCCAAGTAGCTGCGATTACAGGCGTGCACCACCACACCCGGCTAATTTTGTATTTTTTTAGTAGAGACAGAGTTTCACCATGTTGGTCAGGCTGGTCTCGAACTCCTGACCTCAGGTGATCCACCTGCCTTGGCTTCCCAAAGTGTTGGGATTACAGGCCTGAGCCACCACGCCCAGCCCCTACCATACGTTTTTAAATCACATGCTTCCGTTGCTGCTTCTTAAGTTTTCAGTTTTAGGCATGACCTGTTTTTTTCCTGCTATAAAATTCAAGGAATTCACTCTTCCACCCCACTGCCACCATAATTTTGGTTAGATTTATTCATTTGACAGTAGTTACTGAGTGTCCTCTACATTCCGGGTACTGTTCTAGAGGCTTGGTGTAAAGCAATGAATTAAGAAAAAAAAAAAAAAATCAATCAATCCTGCCAGGCGCAGTGGCTCACGCCTGTAATCCCAGCACTTTGGGAGGCCGAGGTGGGCAGATTGCTTGAGGTCGGGAGTTCAAGACCAGCCTGGCCAACACAGTGAAACCCCGACCCGGTCTCCACTAAAAATACAAAAATTAGCCAGGAGTGGTGGCACATGTCTGTAATACCAACTACACGGGAGGCTGAAGCAGGAGAATCACTTGAGCCCGGGAGGCGGAGGCTGCAGTGAGCTGAGATCACACCACTGCACTCTGGCCTGGGCGACAGAGCAAGACTCTGTTTCAAAAAAAAAAAAAAAAACTTGTCCAGGCGTGGTACGCCTGTAATCCCAGCACTTTGGGAGGCCGAGGAGGGTGGATCACCTGAGGTGAGGAGTCCGAGAGCAGCCTGGCCAACATGGTGAAACCCCATCTCTACTAAAACTACAAAAAAATTAGCCAGGCTTGGTGGCGTGCGCCTGTAATCCCAGCTACTTGGCTGGCTGAGGCAGGAGAATAGCTTGAACCTGAAAGGAGGTTGGAGGTTGCGGTGAGCCAAGATCGGGCCACTGCACTCCAGCCTGCATGACAGGGTGAGACTCCGTCCTGCTGTGTAGCCAGGCTGGAGTGCATTGGTGCGATCTGGTCTTGCTGCAGCCTCCACCTCCCGGGTTCAACCGATTCTCCTGCCTCAGCTTCCTGAGTAGCTGGGACTACAGGTGTGCACCACCACGCTCAGCTAATTTTTGTATTTTTAGTAGAGATGGGATTTCACCATGTTGGCCAGGATGGTCTCGATCTCCTGACTTTGTGATCTGCCTGCCTCGGCCTCTGAAAGTGCAGGGATTACAGGCATGAGTCACTGCGCCCAGACTTAACTGTTTTTTTGTTTTTGTTTTTTTTTTTAAAGACTCTGAGTAAACTATGAGTAGAATAGGCCCTGTTTAACCTGATAAAGGGTATCTATCAAAAACCTACAGCAAGCATCATGCATAACAGTGTAACCTCATGTCAGGAACAAGACAGAATCACTGCTGCTTCTATTGGCTCCTGTACTAGATCCTGACCAGAGCAGTGAAATAATCAAAGACAGCTTCTAGGGTACAGAACTGTTTAGTTGCTCCTACGTTGGCAAAGGGGCAGAGAATGAAACAGAAAAGGAAAAACTAGAAGTTGGACAACCAAGAGAGAGGTGAAAGAAGGTGGCCAGAGATGGCTGGTGTTCCAATGTAGCAATGGGGAGCCAGGGCCCCCAGTGCCCCTGGGCTGTGGGAGTCTGAGCAACGGAAAGAATAGACAGTGAGGGTAGAGGTGGAAGTGGGGGTAGGGGTTGGGGTGGCTGGGAGCTGACCAGGTGGGTGTCAGAGCTGAGAGGGTAGGGTGTTACCAGGGATAGCAAAGTAATGCTCATCCCGGCTCCTCAGGGTGAGCCAGCTCTCCTTCTAGGGAACAGCTTCCTCCACAGCAAAGCCTCCACCTAGAAACATCTACACTCATGAGTACAAAAAGCTTCAGCCTTTATTAAACAAAGGAGGAGGTAGAAAACAGATAAGGGAACAGTTAGGGATCCCTTCTTTCCCCTATACATACACAGACATACAAACACACGCACCCGAGTGAATGACAGGGACCATCAGGCGACAGATTGAAGGGCAGAGGGAGGCAGCACCCTCCGAGAGTTGGCCCGGACCCAAGGGTGGGCTGAGACCTGGGCCAGGGGCAGCCGTTCCGAGGGGTTATGCCTGAGCAGTTTGGAGATGAGGTCCTGGGCTCCCATGGGCACGGAAGCGGGGAACTTTAGGTCCACCTGCAGGTGTGAAGAGATGGAAGGGCTGCATTAGTTTCACCCTGGCTACATCTTCCTTGACTACCCATTCTGTTTGGAGTTACTTAGGGCCATGCAAATACACTCTGCCCACCCCCAGCCCCCCAGCTCCTGGCTTCAGCAGCTGGCACGAAGCCCAGGCCGCCCTCCCACCTTGACGATGCGGCGATAGGTCTCGTTGTGTGATGCACTCTCAAAGGGTGGGTTCCCCACCAGCAGCTCATAGCAAAGCACTCCAATGCACCACAGATCCACCTTCTCATTGTGCATGCGCCCCTCAATCATCTCTGGGGGCAGGTAGTCCAGGGTGCCACACATTGTCTTCCTCCTGGGAGGGATAAGGGGCGTGGGCAGGGGTCCTAGTGACATAGGAACTCTCCTTTCCCTGCTGCCTGACGGCTGGGAGCCAAAAGACCACGGGATGTACCAGGGGAGAGGTCCAGCCAGGCAAGGCCACTGGAGTGGGGGTGGGGTTGGGGTGATGATATATCCCAAAGCCCCAGAGGTGAGCCTGCACACAGCCCAGCAACTCCACACTGAAGGATATATCTTAATAAGATACCCTGATATGAGGGCAGTGTTCATTTGGAGTTCACTGGGGACATCTCTAATGCCCATCAGGCATGTTCTGGTTAAATAAATCAGCTACTATGTGATACTATGAAACCATTAAAAAGTGATGTGGGAGGAAAAAAGGCCACTGCTCCGGGCTTTTTTTGAGAGAGTCCAGGCTGGAGTGCAGTGGGGCGATCTTGGCTCACTGCAACCTCTGCCTCCCGGGTTCAAGTGATTCTCATGTCTCAGCCTCCCGAACAGCTGGGATTACAAGTGTGCACCACCATGTCTGCTTAATAAATTTTGTGTTTTTAGTAAAGATGGGGTTTCATCATGTTGGCCAGGCTGGTCCGCTGGTCTTGAACTCCTGGCCTCAAGTGATCCACCCGCCTTGGCCTCCCAAAGTGCTGGGACTGGTAGGCGTGAGCCACCGCGCCTGGCCAAAGTTTTACCATTGGCCCCTACAGGGATCAAACCTGCGACCTTGGGGTTATTAGCACCACACTCTAACCATTTTTTTTTTTTTTTTTTGAGACAGAGTCTCGATCTGTCACACAGGCTGGAGTGCAATGGCGTAATCTCGGCTCACTGCAACCTCCGCCTCCCAGGTTCAAACAATTCTCCTGCCTCAGCCTCCCCAGTAGCTGGGATTACTGGCGTCCGCCACCATGGCCGGCTAATTTTTGTATATTTAGTAGAGACAAGGTTTCATCATGTTGGCAAATCTAGTCTCGAACTCCTGACCTCAGGTGATCCGCCCTCCTCGGCCTCCCAAAGTGCTGGGATTACAGGTGTGAGCCACGGTGCACGGCCCCTGGAGAGGTTTTAATGGCCCAGCCTCACACCCAGGTCTGGCCTCCCAGGCCACCATACCTCAGGGAGGGCGCATGCACAGACCAGCCGAAGTCAGCAATCTTCAGCTCTCCCTTGAGCCCTAAGAGCAGATTTTCTGGCTTTATGTCTCTGTGAATCACCTTCTTCCCATGGCAGTACATTAGAGCATCTGCCAACTCCTCCATGATCTGGGAGGGGCAACGACAGGCAATCAGACAAGGATGGACCTCCAGCTACAAGCAGCACACCCTCAGCCTCGAGCCCCCTACTGGCGCCCCAGGTGCCCACCCGCCCGGACCGTGGCTGTTCGCTGCTCGTCAAATGTGCAGCTCTTCTGCAGCTCCTTGTAGAGCTCCCCGCGGGGGGCATACTCTAGAATCAAGTAGATCCTCCTCCGGTCATAAAAATAGTTGTAGAGACGCAGGATGTTGGGATGGCTGGGGGAAGAGACAGAGGAGGCCTCAGGCCAAAGGCATAAAAGAGCTGGAAAAGATGATAGGAGCAAACTGGGGTCAGACGTGGCCCAGGCCGGGGACACCAGGGCTGGGAGTGGTAAGGGGAAACTGGAGGCAGATTTCTGGATTCAAGGCTTGCCAGGACTAAGAGCTAAATGGGGCTCACTAGCCATAGCTACAGAGAAAGCAATCTGGATGAAGTGGGGCTGAATGAGGAGCTGGGGGTGAGGGAGCAGAGGGGCTTCGGCTCAGGGGGCATCAACCCATACTGCAGGTGGGCCTGGATTTCGATCTCTCTGCGCAGCTGATGCTCCACGCCCTCCTTCTCTATCTGGGACTTGAAGAGGACCTTGAGCGCCACGATGAAATGGCTTTTCTTCTCCCGAGCCAAGTACACGTTTCCAAACTTGCCTTTGCCCAGAGGACGCCCAATCTCAAAGTCATCAATTGTGAAGTGCCGCCTGCTTAGAAAGTGGAGGAAGGCAACTCAGAACCGGTTTTGGTTATTAAGAGGTTTGCTTTCTCTCTGCTTCCTCATCCCATCCTGTCCTCCGCCCCACTTGTCTTCATCCCTACTCCTCCCGTGCTTAGGTTTTATCTCCCCGACTTCCTGCCTGTTCATTGTCCCCTCACCCCCGTCCACCCCCAGGCTTGGGGCACTTACGTTAAGATGTCGGGTGTCCCACTGCTATTCTCCATCACCTTCTGGCCAGGGGCAGCTAAGGAGAGAACAGGTAGGTTGAATGCGAACAGGGATGACCTTCTCATCCCTAAACCCTCCCACAGACGGTCATCTCCCCAGCTCAGTCCTCTCCCCCTTGCGCCAGTTACCTGTGGGCTGGACATTGGAGCGGCTCATGAGGACAAGTGCAGATGGGGTGACAGGCTCTTTCCGGAGGACTCGCTGGGGCAGGGTGCTCAGGCCAGATGGAGCCTGAGAAGGAGCAGGGGGTAGCTCTGAGGGTGCCTTTGTCTGATGACCGGGGTGGAATGTGCTGCAAGCAGTATTTCAGCCCCTTGCTAAAGAGCCACCCACCCACCTACCCCCAATTCAAAGAGAAACACTGATGTGACAGTTTTGCTTCCCAGCCTCTGCTCATAGTCCCATATTAAAATGGGTTATTAATAAACAACCTAGGGCTGGGCGCAGTGGCTCCCGCAGTCAGGAGTTCAAGACCAGCCTGGCCAACATGGTGAAACGCCATCTCTACTAAAAATATAAAAAATTAGCTGGGTGCGGCTGGGCGTGGTGGCTCATGCTTGTAATCCCAGCACTTTGGAAGGCCGAGGCAGGCGGATCACAAGGTCAGGAGTTTGAGACCAGCCTGGCCAACACAGTGAAACCCCATCTCTACTAAAAATACAAAAATTAGCTGGCCGTGGTGGCACGCTCCTGTAATCCCAGCTACTCAGGAGGCTGAGGCAGGAGAATCGCTTGAACCTGGGAGGCACAGGTTGCAGTGAGCCGAGATCGTACCATTGCACTCCAGCCTGGGCAACAGAGCTAGACTCCATCTCAAAAAAAAAAAAAAAAATTAGCCAGGTGTGGTGGCAGGCGCCTGTAATCCCAGCTACTCGGGAGGCTGAGGCAGGAGAATCGCTTGAACCTGGGCGGCAGAGGTTGCAGTGAGCTGAGATCGCACCATTGCACTCCAGCCTGGGCAACACAGTGAGGCTCCGTCTCAAAAAATAAATAAATAAATAAATAAATAAATAAATAAATAAAAAATAAATAACCTAAGTAGGCCTAAGATAAGGGGCAAAGGACTCACACCAACACCTAACATTTCACTTCTTTGGCCCTGGCCCACACTTTTCAGGCATGAAGCTGTTCAACCTGTATAAGTCCTGTCCATAACAACACAGTCATTCATCCAGCCCCTCACTTACACCACAGTAGAGAGCTGCGTCAATGAACACCCACAATTCAAGGGGTTTAGCACAGAGGTATTCTCAAAGTCTCCTAAAAAGCTTAGTTTATTAAGGCTTAGATAAGATGCTTGAGGCCTTGAATGTTATAGCAATAACCAGGATTTACACTTTTGCAAGAACAGGCTTTAAGGACACTAAGAGCTACCCTGATGGCCCTGGACCACTTCTCACTTTCAACTTCTTCATTTTTTTTTTTTTTTGAGATGGAGTCTCGCTCTATTACCCAGGCTGGAGTGCAATGGTGCCATCTCGGCTCACTGCAACCTCCACCTCCCAGGTTCAGGCAATTCTCCTGCCTCGGCCTCCTGAGTAGGTGGGATTACAGGCACATGCCTGGCTAATTTTTGTATTTTTAGTAGAGACGGGGTTTTACCATGTTGGCCAGGCTGGTCTCGAACTCCTGACCTCAGGTGATCCACCTGCCTCAGCCTCCCAGTGCTGGGATTACAGGCGTGAGCCACCTACCTGGCCTCACTTTCAACTCTCAAAATAATAGGTACATTTTCTTTTAGGAGTGACTAAGGTAAAAGTGACAATGGTTTCTCATTCAGACTCCATTCCTGACAGCCTCACTCAGTGCTCCATGAGGGAGGGAGCTGATGTACAAGGGAACAGACAGACTCTCCAGGAAGCAAGAGCTCCAAAAACAGGGAGCAAAGCCTGTGCAGGGCCCCTTCCTTCTTCTGCAGCCAAGAGAAGAAAGCCCCTAGGCCCCAAATAGTGATATTGGTACCAATCTACAAATAAGCAAGTTGAATAAAATACAGTCCAGAAATAGACCCACATATATGTGGGAATTTATATATATAATAAAGGTGGCATTTCAAATCAGAGAGGAGGCCCTTCAATGAAATCTGTCTGGACCATTGGGAAATAAGTCAATTTAGATCCATTTAGATTCTTACCTCAATTTAGTCATTAATTCCAAATTGTAATTTAGACTTGCCCTGGGCCTTTTAAACTGTAACTTTATATCCTTTTAGAGTCTATTTCTATTTGCTGTCTAGTTTTTTTTTTTTCAGGATATGGATTGGGAATCATGGCCTGAAGGCCAGGCCCTGCCTGCTCAGTCCCAGATATCATTTGTATGTGACGAGCCCTGCAGAGGTCCTCACCAGCTGGGAGTCACTGGCTGGTCAGATTCACGTTGGCAGCACCTGACAGGATGTGGCTACAAATGACCAGAGCGGGTTCTGTCGTCAAACTTGGGACCCGTACTTTGGAGCATAACGGGGAAGAAAGTGCTTAAAGGATTGCTCATTGCAGGATCTCAAGTTTCCCAGCAGGAACTCGCCATGCGGGGTCATGGGGGCGCAGGGACGGAGGGAAGGGCCTTACCGTCTGTCGGCCGTAGGGCCAGGGGTAGGAGTTCTCCTTCTGGGCCATCCTTAGAGAGAAAGGGGGAGGAGAGCTGGGCGGAGAAGGGAAACAGCCGTGAGAAGCAGAGAAAAAGAGAGAGAGAGGGAGGGGTTGGACCGATCGAGCCGGAAGCGCTAGCCCGAGCTGGTAAAAGGGAGCAGGTCAGCACACTAGCCCCAATCTGGGCGCTGGTCTCACCGCCCCCGCCCTGCTATCGTCCCTACCTCCTTCCAGCCCTGCGGCGTGCGCGCAGGCCAGCCCAACGGACCCTCTGATCTACCTGATCATCTGCCCACTCCCGGCGCAAGGCCTGCGACAGGAGGCCAGCTCACCTGGGGTCCAAGGCACTGCTACTCTCCCGGCCGCCCGCAAACAACTGAATCTGCCACGCCGCGCCCTGGCCAAGGACTTTTCAAATCTCCCGCCCCGGCCCCATTGGGCAAGCTCGTCGCCCATGCCTAGTTCCCATTGGCTCGATGTCCTGTGACGTAAGTCATGGGAACCCAATGGAAGAGGCGGAATGAGAAGGGCTCACGCTTGGCTTCCAGTTTAGGAAAGTTTCCCCAAATTCCCCCAGTGAATTATCTTGCTTTTTCTTTTCTTTTTTTTTTTCCTTTTTTGAGACAGGTCTCTCTCTGTCGCTCAGGCTGGAGTATAATGGTGCTATCTGGGCTTGCTGCAACCTCTGCCTCCCGGGTTCAAGCGATTCTCGTGCCTCAGCCACCCGAGTAGCTGGGATTACAAGCGCCCGCCACCACGCCTGGCTAATTTTTGTATTTTTATTAGAGACGGGTTTTCGCTGTGTTGGCCAATCTGGTCTCGAACTCCTGTCCTCAGGTGATCCACCCGCCTCGGCTTCCCAAAATGCTGGGATTACAGGCGTGAGCCACCGTGCCCGGCCTTCTTCTTTTTATAAAAAAAATTAAATCTTTAATGTAACTGGAGTTTATCCTTATGCATGTATGAGCTGGGGTCTAACTTCTCTGCCCGATGGAGCGCCAGTTATGTCAACACCATTTGTTAAACAAACTGCCCCAACAGAATTTAAATGCTGCCCTTGATATATAATGTTAGCATATTTACTTGTGTCTATTTCTAGACTTTGTATTCCGTTGTTTGCTCATTTGCCTGTGTGTTTATTCTTGTGTCATTACTATGTCGTTCTTAAAAGTTCTGACATTCCTGGGAGGAGTTTTTCCACCAATAGACCTTTCGTTGCAAGATCTCTGTTAGCTGCCGTGTTGTTTGGGCCCACTTTCATTTTTCCTCCTTCCTGCCACACTTCCTTCTTTTCTGCTCTTCCTAACCCTCAGATTTCATTACTGGGTTAAATAAATACATTTTTGGGCCTTCTATGAAATAACCAGTGGATATTTATTAAGTATGTACTGTCCAGCACTCTTCTCCTTTCTTCTAACACTCTATTTTTCCTTTAGGGGACCACCTGTCTCTCCAGTCTATGCAGTCGGTTTCTGTAGTAGTTTCTGTTGCTGACAACCCCAAATCCCTAGGTTGATGAAGACCTATTTAAATCTCACTTTTTTTTTTTTTTTTGAGATGAAGATTCGCTGTGTTGCCCAGGCTGGAGTGCAATGGCACAATCTCAGCTCACCACAACCTCCTCCTCCAGGGTGCAACTGATTCTCCTGTCTCAGCCTCCCGAGTACCTAGGATTATAGGTGCATGTGACCACGCCCGGCTAATTTTTGTATTTTTAGTAGAGACGGGGTTTCATCACATTGCTCAGGCTGGCCTCAGGTGATCCGCCCGCCTTGGTCTCCCAAAGTGCTTGGATTACAGGCGTGAGCCACTGCGCCCAGCTTTATTCCCACTTCTGAAAGCACTTAGAGTTTTGAGGATTTGAGAAGGAAACTGACTTCATTGCAGGTCCAGAAATGAGCCCCAATTAACTTATACTAATCAATACCTTTTATTCCAGATTATGGTTATTGGATCAGGCATAAGCCTGTGATTTAAGTGGGCCAGCTAGTGGGAATCAGTTTCTTGCTCAGAATGCTGGGCAGCTCAAGGAAACACTTAACGTTTACTGGTTTATCATAAAGTGTATTACAAATGATATAGATGAAAAGATGTATAGGGCAAGGTATGGAGGAAGAGATTTCTGGAAGTGAGCAGGGAAGCATGCAGCCCTCATTGCTGCTTCTAGTGCTACTGAAGGAAGCAGCTTGACATTGAAGCCTAACATTGCAGAAGGCAGAAGAGAGGCCTGGAAAGAACTTCAGGACTTGATGACATTGTTGAGCCTCTACATGCCTACGTTAGCACTTTTCTTACATGAACAATAGAGAAGATTATTATTCAGCTAATATCCTTTCTGAATGCATTCTAAATGCTATTTGCTGTTTAAGCATATTGTGTAGAAAAAACAAACCATGGCTAGGCTTGGCGGCTCACGCCTGTAATCCCAGCACTTTGGGAGGCTAAGGCGGCTGTATCACTTGAGCCCAGGAGTTTAAGATCAGCCTGGGCAACCTGTGAAACCCCGTCTCTACAAATAAAAAAAAAAAAAATTAGCCAGTATGGTAGTGTGTGCCTCTAGTCCAAGCTACTTGATAGGCTGAGGCAGGAGGATCAGCAGAGGCCGGAGGTCAAGGCTGTGGTGAGCCATGATTGCACCACTGCACTCCAGCCCCGACATTAGAGTGACACCCTGTCTCAATAAAAACAAAAAATGGGCAGGGCGCAGTGGCTCATGTCTGTAATCCTAGCACTTCAGGAGCCCAAGGAGGGTGGATTGCCTGAGCTCAGGAGTTCAAGACCACCCTGGGCAACATGGTGAAACCCCGTTACTACTAAAATACAAAAAATTAGCCAGTTCTGGCCAGGCGCGGTGGCTCATGCTTGTAATCCCAGCACTTTGGCAGGCTGAAGTGGGTGGATCACGAGGTCAGGAGTTCGAGACCAGCCTGGCCAACACAGTGAAACCCGTCTCTACTAAAAATACAAAAATTAGCTGGATGTGGTGGCAGGCGCCTGTAATCCCAACTACTTGGGAGGCTGAGGAAAGAGAATCGCTTGAACCTGGGAGGCGGAGGTTGCAGGGAGCTGAGATCGCATCACTGCACTCTAGCCTGGGTGACAGAGCTAGACTCCGTCTCGAAAAAAAAAAAAAAATTAGCCAGTTGCGGTGGCGGGTGCCTATAGTCCCAGCTACTCAGGAGGCTGAGTGAGGCACAAGAATTGCTTGAACCTGGGAGTGTTGCAGTGAGCCGAGATCACGCCACTGCACTCCAGCCTGAGCAACACAGCAAGAGTCTGTCTAAAAAAAACAAAAACAAAAAAAGACCCAATTTTTCCTCTGCCCTCACACCACAGCAATCAACACAGGAGACTTCTGCGACCACATGTGTGGAGATTTTACTGCACCACCAAGCAATCAGTTCTGCAATCAAGCAATCTGTTCTGCAGCAGACATCAGCTGGGTGTCTTCCGATTAGATTCTGACACTATCTACCCAGAGAGAGCATCAGATCCCATAGGTTGAGGGCTCAGTCCCACAAGACTGCCCCTCACTTTGGATGCCAACTGCAAGCCTCAGGTTGTTTTTACCTGTACTCATGACTAACTGGGTGTAAGCTAGGGTTCCTACGATTCCCTCTTTATGTTCAATGAATTTGCTAGAGTGGCTGACAGAACTCAGGAAAAAATGTTTACTGGTTTATTATAAAGGATTTTTTTTTTTTTTGAGATGGAGTCTCTCTGCCACCCAGGCTGGAGTGCAATGGTGCAATCTCGGCTCACTGCAACCTCTGCCTCCCGGATTCAAGTGATTCTCCTGCCTCAGCAGGAGAACTCGCCACCACGCCCAGCTGATTTTTGTATTTTTAGTAGAGACGGGGTTTCATTACGTTGGCCAGGCTGGTCTCGAACTCCTGACCTCGTGATCCACCCGTCTTGGCCTCCCAAAGTGCTGGGATTGCAGGCGTGAGCCACCGTGCCCGGCCTTATAAAGGATATGACCAAGGATACAGATGAAGAGATGCACGGGGCAAGGAGGTGGGAAGGGCATGGAACTTCCATGCCCTTCTGAGGTGTGCCGCCCTTCAGGATGCTCCACGGGTTCAGCTCTCAGGAAGCTCTCTCTACCCCATCCTCTTGGGTCTTTTATGGAGACTTCATTAAATAGGTGTGATTGAAGCATGACGACTGTGTAGAAATGTGATTGGACGAAGAGGGTATGATCTAGTACTAATAGGCTGAGTGGGGAAGCCCAGCAAGGCCTGTCTAGATTCTTCCCGGCTTCTCTGTGCAGTATTCCTTCCACCTTCTGAAATGGGGGTCTTATGACCTATAATTGAACAAGATTGTTCAGAGAATTTATTTATGGCCAGCTTCAGGACAGACAGGAAAGAGGTAAGATAAGATATATATATATATATATATATATATACACACACACACACAGTTTGTTTGTTTGTTTTTTGAGACAGAGACTCGCTCTATCGCCCAGGCTGGAGTGCAGTGGTGTGATCTCGGCTCACTGCAACCTCCGCCTCCCGGGTTCACGCCATTCTCCTGCCTCAGCCTCCCGAGTAGCTGCGACTACAGGCACCCACCACCACTCCCAGCTAATTTTTTTATTTTTAGTAGACATGGGGTTTCACCACATTGGCCAGGCTTGTCTCGAACTCCTGTCCTTGTGATCCATCCACCTCGGCCTCCCAAAGTGCTGGGATTACAGGCATGAGCCACTGCACCTGGCCTTTTTTTTTTTTTTTTTTTAAGAGAAGGTCTCTTTTGTCCGAGGCAAGCACTCTTGCTGCACAATCATAGCTCATTGCAGCCTCAGAACAAGTTTGGACTTGGTTACACCAATTTGCTTCTTTAATCTATCAATTTACCTTTAACTGCCGGCACATCAACGTAGTGAAATATACCTCATGTATTTGCATTGCCATTGTCTCTTCTGTGGAGAGGAGGGAGCAGGCAGAGATGGTTGGTCATCAAAGGGGACTTAAGTTTTGCCTTTAATGTTCTAATTTTTTAGAAGGTGTATAGAGTCATGGAACTGTTTGCAGGATTAAATATTAATGACAAATAATCCCTAAAAAGAAGGTGTGGACCAGGCACGGTGGCTCACGCCTGTAATCGCAGCACTTTGGGAGGCCGAGGCGGGTGGATCATGAGGTCAGGAGTTCGAGACCAGCCTGGCCAACATAGTGAAACCCCATCTCTACTAAAAATACAAAAATTAGTCAGGTGTGGTGGTGGGTGCCTATAATCCCAGCTACTCCAGAGGCTGAGGGAGGAAAATCTCTTGAACCTGGAAGGTGGAGGTTGCAGTGAGCTGAGATCATGCCACTGCATTCCAGCCTGGGTGACAGAGCAAGACTCATCTCAAAAAAAAAAAAAAAAGAAAAAAAAAAGAATTGAAAGGAAGTATCATAAATATTCAGAAGCAGCGTTATTCACAACAGCCAAAAGTTGGAAGCAGCCCAAATGTCCATCAACTGGTGAATGAATAAACAAAATGTCATATATCCATAAAATAGAAACTTACTTAGTCCTAAGAGGAATGAAGTACTGATATTTTATTTCATGGAAACCATGAAAACAGTATAAACAAAAGAGGCTAAGCTGAGCACAGCAGCTCATGGCTGTAGTCCCAGCACTTTGGAAGGCTAAGGTGGGCAGATCCCTTGAGCCCAGAAGTTCCAGACCAGCCTGGGCAACATGGCGAAATCCCGTCTCTACAAAAAATACAAACATTAGCCAGGTGTGGTGGTGGGCACCTGTAGTCCCAGCTACTCAGGAGGCTGAGGCAGGAGAGCCGTTGAACCCAAGAGGCACAGGTTGCAGTGAGCCAAGATCGTGCCATTGCACTCCAGCCTGGGCAACAGAGCAAGACTCCGTCAAAAAAAAAAAAAAAAGATAGAAAGTTCACATATTATATGATTGCATTTACATGCGATATCCAGCATAATATCCAGCATAAGCAAATCCACTGGGACAGAAACAGATTAGTGGTTTCCAGAGACTAGGGGAAGGGAGAAGGGGGAATACAGAGTGAGTGCCAATGGTTTCTTTTTGGGGGGGGGGTGATTAAAATGTTCTGGAATTAAATAGTGATGATTGATGCACCACTGTGAGAATATACCAGAAACTCTTAATTGTACACTTTAAAATGGTTAAAATGGTAAAATTTATGTTAAGTATAATTTACCACAAAAAATTATAAAATATCTTTTTTTTTTTTGAGATGGAGTCTTGCTCTGTTTCCCAGACTGGAATGCAGTGGCATGATGATCTCAGCTCACCACAACCTCTGCCTCCTGCGTTCAAGTGATTCTCCTGCCTCAGCTTCCCAAGTAGGTGGGACTACAGGCGTGTGCCACCATGCCCAGCTAATTTTTGTATTTTTAGTAGAGATGGGGTTTCACCATGTTGGTCAGGCTGTTCTCGAACTCCTGACCTCGTGATCCGCCTGCTGCAGCCTCCCAAAGTGCTGGGATTACAGGCCTGAAGCCACCGCTCCCGGCTCTTTTTTATTTATTTATTATTATTATTATTTTGTCTTTTTTTTCTTCCTTTTTGTGGAGAACAGGGTCTCGCTATATTGCCCAAGCAGGTCTCGAACTCCTGGGCTCAAGCTATCCTCCCACCTCTGCCTCCATGAGAGCTGGGATTACAGGCATGAGCCACCACGCCCGGCCTTATTATTATTATTTTGAAATGGAGTTTCACTCTTGTTGCCCAGGCTGGAGTGCAGCAGTGCAATCTCAGTTCACTGCAACCTCTGCCTCCCCGGTTCAAGCGATTCTCTTGCCTCAGCTTCCCAAGTAGCTGGGATTACAGGCGCCCGCCACCATTCTGGCTAATTTTTTTTTTTTTTTTTTTTGAGACACAGTGTTGCTCTTGTCGCCCAGGCTGGAGTGCAATGGGGTGATCTTGGTTCACTGCAACCTCTGCCTCCCAGGATTACAGGCGTGGGCCACCATGCCTAGCTAATTTTTGTATTTTTAGTACAGACAGGGGTTTCCTCATTTTCACCAGGCTGGTCTCGAACTCCTGACCTCAGGTGATCCACCCACCTTGGCCTTCCAAAGTGCTGGGATTACAGGCGTGAGCCGCCACACCCATCCAGGAATACACTTTAAAGGCACTTGTGTGACTGCTATTAAATTAGTCAAATCTTAACACATTTTGCTATATTTGTTTATGATGTTTTTTTAAATGAACTAAAAGGCATACAGGTGGAGTTCCAGTGTAAAATTTCTTTTTTTTTTTTTTGAGACGGAGTGTCGCTCTGTCCCCCAGGGTGGAGTGCGGTGGCGCGATCTTAGCTCACTGCAAGCTCCGCCTCCCGGGTTCACGCCATTCTTCTGCCTCAGCCTCCCTAGTAGCTGGGACTACAGGCACCCGCCACCACGCCTGGCTATTTTTTTTTTTTTTTTTTGTATTTTTAGTAGAGACGAGGTTTCACCGTGTTAGCCAGAATGGTCTCGATCTCCTGACCTCGTGATCCACCCGTCTCGGCCTCCCAAAGTGCTAGGATTACAGGCATGAGCCACCAGGCCCGGTCAGTAAAATTTCAAGAAGTAGGCCGGGCGCTGTGGCTCATGCCTGAAATCCCAGCACTTTGGGAGGCCGAGGTGGGTGGATCACGAGGTCAGGAGATCGAGACCATCCTGGCTAAGACGGTGAAACCCCGTCTCTACTAAAAATACAAAAAAAAAATTAGCCGGGCGTGATAGCGGGTGCCTGTAGTCCCAGCTACTAGGGAGGCTGAGGCAGGAGAATGGCGTGAACCCAGGAGGCGGAGCTTGCAGTGAGCCGAGATCACGCCACTGCACTCCAGCCTAGGCGACAGACAGAGACTCCGTCTCAAAAAAAAAATATTTTCAAGAATTAGGTCTAGGTATATTGTTTCTCTACCATTTTCTTCTGTGGTTGTTATGGATGAAATTGTGTTTCTCCAAAATCCATATGATAAAGCTTTAACACCCAATGTAAATGTATTTCTAGACACAGCTTTAGGGAGGTAGTTAAGGTTAAATGAGGTCATTTGAGTGGAATCCTAATCCTACAGGGCTGGCATCCTTAGGAGAAGAGGGAGAGACTCCAGAGTTCTCTCTTTCCCTGTCGGCACAGAGGAAAGGCCATGTGAGGACACTGCAAGAAGGCGGCATGTAGAAGCCGGCAAGAGAGGCCTCAGCAGACACCAA